>NT_167244.2:1606256-1632633 GCF_000001405.40 Homo sapiens | reverse complement strand
GGCCAATTCTAATCTCAAGTCATTAGGCTGCAGTAGCATGACCACTGCTTCCTGTCTACCCTCAGAGGGTAGAGACAGCTGAGCTCCTGTAGTTGGGGTCAGGCCCAGCCACTCTGTGGGGACAGTGATTAGTGTTGTGTCACCAATTCAGGGAAGGAGCCACCTTGTCTTATTTTCCCTCTTGAATTATCTTGATATGACCCCATTATAAATTTCCTTTTGTAAACCTCTGTCTCCCAGTTTCTCCTTTTAGCTTACTTTCTATTGAAGTAGAGGAACAGAGTACAACTTCCATCCTCTTTCATCAGCCCTGAGAGCAGAACGCAAGCGCCGTTACTGGGAACTATATCCTTGGCTCCCTGGATGTGGCTATTAACTTCTGGCCTGCCACTCTATCACATACACATATGGAGATGGTGTCATCCATGTACCTTACCCCGTATTTACAACTTCTATCACCCAACAGTGCCAATGGCCCTGATGGTCCCTCTGGGAGGGAGAGAAGAGTAAGCTGGAGTCACCCCTTCCCTGTACTTCCCACCTCGCCAGGCCTGTTGGTGTTAGTGTCCCTTCTGATCTTGGCCTGACCCCTGTGCCCTGGGCACTGGGCTGCAGGTTGGAGAGGCAGCATGATGGAGTGGGGATAACACATACTCCAAAACCAAACAGAAGCCAGACCTGGGTTGGGTCCTGGCGAAACAGTCTAGAGGCTTGGTGACCTTAACCTCCTAATTAATCTTCCTAAGCATAAGTTTCCTTATCATAAGTTATGTATGATAAAATTTTCCTTGGATGCATTCATTTTAGCATGACTTGAAATTATGTGTGAAGGAACCTGGCCCACGGAAGTTGCCCTGTAAATTCAGATTCACTTTCCCTTGGACATATGGATGACATTAGCTCATTACAGTTATGACCTCCCTAAAACTCCCAAATATTCTTTAAGTTCTTCTCTTATTTTCCCTTTAGTTTGTAGTCATATTTCTTAGTTCTTATATCAGTTGGGATTCCCACATCTTCTAGTTGGACAATATTGGAGAAGACACCACATTTTAACTGAGTTCCAGTGATATGACAGGCTTTCAATTCTCTAATCTCACAGAAGTTAGAAAAAAAGTAGATAATCAAAATCCACAGAAAATATAGAAGATTCCATTAACTCTGAGAATGATTCTCAGGTATCCTTAGGACCTCAAGAAAGCTGTTCTCTCCTGGGCCTGTAGAGAGTTCAAGTGCCAGGAATCTACCACAAAGTAGCCGGGAGGTGCAGGGCAGCAGGGGGCACAGTGAAGTGCTGAAGGGCTTCTCAGTCTTCTTTAATTAGAGTGAGAAGAAAAGAGCACCTCCTCATTTTAGAGTACATGGTGTGAACTCACTCTCAGCTGCCAAGTGAGCTTCACCTTGGGCTGTTTTGCATGCTTTCTCCTAGTGCTTTAAGCCACCCTGAGATGTACAGACCAATACTGGCCATCACAAAAATATACTCGAGTACATAGACCATTGACACTATAAAGCAAGTAAACAATGAAGTCTACATAACAGCCAAATAACAACATGATGATAGGATCAAATCTGCACATATCAATATTAACCTTGAATGTAAATGAGCTAAATGCCTCAATTAATAGGCAGAGAGTGGCAAGTTGGACAGAGAAGCAAGACCCAACTGTATGTCTTCAAGAGACCCATCTCATATGCAGGGACACCAATAGCCTCAAAGTAAGGGATGGAGAAAGATCTATCAAGCAAATGGAAAACAAAAAACAGCACTCTCTGTCCAACAAAAACAGAATATACATTCTTTTCAGCTGCACATGGTACATACTCTTAAAATCGACCACAATTGCTTTATTGGCCAGAAAGCAATTCTCAACAAATTCAAGAAACCTGAAATACCGGCCAGGTGTAGTGGCTCACACCTGTAATCCCAACACTTTGGAAGGCTGAGGTGGGCAAATCACTTGAGGTCAAGAGTTTGAGACCAGCCTGGCCAACATGGCAAAAACCCATCTCTTCTAAAAAATATAAAAATTAGCCGTGCATGGTGGCATGCGCCTGTAATCCCAGCTACTTCGGAGGTTGAGTCACGAGAATTGCTTGAACCTGGGAGGAGGAGGTTGCAGTGAGCTGAGATCACGCCATTGCACTCCAGTCTGGTTGACAGAGTGAGACTCATCTCAAAAAAACAAAAAAACCCTGAAATACCAACCACACTCTTGGACCACAGTGCCATAAAAATAAATACCAAGAAGATCTCTCAAAACCATATAATTAAGTGGAAATTAATCTACTCCTGAATGACTTGGGTAAACAAAGAGAAATTAAGGCAGAAATCAAGAAATTGTTTACAACTAATGAAAACAAAGATAAAAACATACCAGAATCTGGGACACAGCTAAAGCAGTGTTAAGGGAAAACTATAGTGCTAAATGCCCACATCAAAAAGATAGATCTCAACCTAACATCACATCTAGAGGAACTAAATAAACAAGAGCAAACCAACCCCAAAGCTAGCAGAAGAGAATACCCAAAATCAGAGCTGAACTGAACAAAATGGAGATGAGAAAAACCGTACAAAAAATCAAAGAAAGCAAAAGTTGGTTCTTTGAAAGAATAAATAAGGTTGATAGGCACTAACTAGACTAATAAAAAAAGGAGGGGGGAGATAATCTAAATAAACACAATCAGGAATGACAAAGGGGACGTTGTCACTGACCACACAAAAATACAAAAACCGCTTGGAGACTATTATGAACACCTCTGCACACAAACTAGAAAACCTAGAAGAATGGATAAATTCCTGGGAACATACAACCTCCCAAGATTGAACCAGAAATTGAAACCCCAAACAGACCAATAACAAGTTCCAAAATTGAATCAGTAATAAAAAGCCTACTAACCAGAAAAAGTCCTGGACCAGATGGATTCACAGCCAAATTCTACCAGACATATAAAGAAGAACTGGTATCATTCCTACCAAAACTATTCCAAAAAATTGAGAAAGAGGGACACCTCCCTAACTCAGTCTGTGAGACCAACATCATTCTGATACCAGAACCTGGCAGAGACACAACAGAAAAAAAGAACTTCAGGCCAATATCCCTGATGAACATATATGCAAAAATCCTCCACAAAATACTACCAAATGAAATCCAGCAACACACCAAAAAGCTAATCCATTGTGATCAAGTAGGCTTTATCCCTGGAGTGCAGAGTTGGCTCAACTTACCCAAATCAATAAATGTGATTCATCACATAAAGAGAACTAAAAACAAAAACCACATGATACCTTAATAGATGCAGAAAAGGCTTTTGGTAAAATTAAACATTCATTCATGTTAAAAACCCTCAACAAACTAGGTTTGAAGTTATAGTCCTCAAAATAATAAAAGCTATCTCTGACAAACCCAAAGCCAACATAATACTGAATTGGCAAAAGCTAGAAGTATTCTCTTTAGGAACTGGAACAAGACAAGGATGCCCACTCTCACTACTCCTATTCAACATAGTACTGGAAGTTCTATTTGGAGCAGTCAAGTGAGAGAAAGAAATAAAAGGCATCCAAATAGGAAGAGAGGAAGTCAAATTATCTCTCTTCATAGATAATGATTCTATACCTAGAAAACTCCATGGTCTCTTCCTGAGGGCTTCTAGATCTGAAAAAGAACTTCAGCAGAGTTTCAGGATACAAAATAAGTTTACAAAAATCAGTAGCATTTCTATACACCAATAACATCTAAACCGAGAACCAAGTGAAGAATGCAGTTTCATTCACAGTAGCCTCAAGAAGAATAAAATACCTAGGAATACAGCTAGCCAAAGAGGTAAACAATCTCTGCAATGAGAATTTTACAAGACACTGCCCAAAGAAATCAGATTACACCAATGGGAAAACATTCCATGCTCCTGGATAGGAAGAATTAATATTGTTGTTAAAACTGCCATACTAGTCAAAGCAATTTACAGATTCAGTGTCAAACTACCAATGACATTTTTCACAGAGTTAGGAAAAAAAATTCAAAAATTCATATGGAACCAAGAAGGAGCCCAAATAGCCAAAGCAATCCTAAGCAAAAAGAACAAAGCTGGAGGCATCACACTACCTGTCTTCAAATTATGAGGTTACAGTAACTAAGACAGCATGGCACTGGTACAAAAACAGACACATAGACTAATGGAGCAGATTAGAGAACTCAGAAATAAAGCCACATACCTAAAACCATCTGATCTTTGACAAAATTGACAATAACAAGCAATGGGGAAAGAACTCCCTATTCAATAAATGGTGCTGGGATAACTGGATAGCCATAGGCAGAAGAATGACACTGAACCCCTATCTTTCGCCATATATAAAAATCAACTCAAAGTGGATTAAAGACTTAAATGTAAAACCTAAAACTATGAAAATACTAGAAGAAAACCTAGGAAATACCATTTTGAGCATCAGCCCTGGCAAAGACTTCATGATGAAGACTCCAAAAGCAACTGCAACAAAACCAAAAATTGCCAAATAAGCCTTAATTAAACTAAAGAACTCCTGCACAGAAAATGGAACTGTCAACAGAGTAAACAGCCTACAGAATGGGAGAAAACATCTGCAAACTGTGCATCTGACAAAGGTTTAATAACCAGAATCTATAAGGAACTTAGTAAGCAAAAAAGAACCCCATTAAAAAATGGGCAAAGGACATGAACACTTTTCAAAAGAAACATAAGAAAAAAAATGCTTAATATCCCTAATTAGGGGAATGCAAATCAAAACCACAATGAGATACCATCTTACACCAGTCAGAAAGGCTATTATTAAAAAAGTCAAAAACTAACTGATGCTGATGAGGTTGCAGAAAAAAGAGAATGCTTATACACTGCAAATGGGAATGTAAATTAGTTCAGCCATTGTGGAAAGCAGTCTGGAAATTTCTCAGAGAACTTAAAACTACCGTTTAACCCAGCAATCCCTTTACTGGGTATATCCCCAAAGGAATATAAATAGTTCTACCTAAAGACACACGCACATGTATGTTCACTGCGGCACTATTCGCAATGGCAAAGATACGGAATCAACCTAGATGCCCAGGTTCGGTGGCTCACGCCTGTAATCCTAGCACTTTGGGAGACCGATTCGGGTGGAGTTCGGCGAGGTCAGGAGTTTGAGACCAGCCTGGCCAACATGGTGAAACCTTGTCTCTACTAAAAATACAAAAATTAGCTGGACATGGTGGCAGGTGCCTGTAATCCCAGCTACTCAAGGCAGGAGAATCGTTTGAACCTGGGAAGCAGAGGTTGCAGTGAGCCGAGATCGCGCCATTGCACTCCAGCCTAGGTGACAAGGCGAGACTCTGTCTCAAAAAAAAAAAAAAAAGAAAATGTACATATACACCGTGGAATAGAATACTACACAACCACGAAGAATGACATGATGTCCTTTGCAGCAGCATGGATGGAGCTGGAGGCCATTCCTTAAGACAATTAATGCAGGAACAGAAAACCAAATACTGTATGTTGTCACTTTTAAATGGGAGCTAAACATCGAGTACACATGGACACAAGGGAGCAACAGACACCAGGACCTACTTGAGGGTGGAGGGTGAAAGGAGGGTGAAGACTTAAAAACTACCTTTTGGGTATTATGCTGATTACCTGGGCGACAAAATTATCTGTATACACAACCCCCACAACATTGTAATTTACCCATATAACGAACCTACACATGTACCCCTTGAACCTAAAATGGAAGTTGAATAGTGAAAAAAAATAAAAAAATATATTTTTAATCAGGGAGAAGGGGACTGGGCATTGTGGCTTCTACCTATAATCCCAGCACTTCAGGAGATTTGCGGCAGGAGGATTGCTTGAGGCCAGGAATTTGAGACCATCTTAGGGAACATAGTGAGACCCCATCTTTACAAAAATTTTAAACATTAGCAGGTATGGTGGCATGCGCCCATAGTCCCAGCTACTCAGGAAGATAAGGAGGGAGGATCATTTGAGCCAGGAGTTTGAGGCTGCAGTGAGCTGTGACCACGCCACTGCAGTCCAGCCTGGATGATACAGCAAAATCGTGTCGAATGAAAAAGAGGGATGGGGGCAAAAAATTTTGCCTTGAGCCGGCCCTGCCATTAGATGAACCCATTAAGAGCAATTTCTGTTTGGTAGACTCAGAGTTCACTGATGGATGCTGTCGTTGTTAGATCACTTTAAAAACTGTACAGTGTGGTCCAGCACAGAGCACAGTCTTTCAAATGAAAGAAAGCTGGATTTAAATTCTGACTGTGTCTCCTAAGGTGTAGCCTTGAACCAAGGACATTCCTTCAACTCTTGCTTTGATCATAAGTAAAATGAAGGATAATCAGTAATGTGAGTATACTGAAAAAAATGAAAGCACTGAGCATGGTGCTGGCATCCAAGAGAGGCTCAATAATTTTCTTTATTTTTATTTCATAGAATTCCTGACCTCAAAGAACATATCTATGAGTGATTTCTGATAGGGAAACATGTTGACCTTGTCCCAAATACCTAGTGCTTTCAAAAAATAGTAACATGTCTAACAGTCTATACAAATTCTTCTCTCTTGTCAGGTAGAAGTGAGAGCAAGAGTCGTAACAGCAAACACCCTTCTGACCTCTGAAATGCTTCAAACTTTAGATTACAAAGATTTTGTTGTCACGGACCGGGACACAGCTGGGGGTGTTGGAAACCACACCCACTTCTGCCTGAGGGAAAGACAGGATAGTAGCTAGGTGACCACTAGATACCCTCTCTCAGAGTTGAAGGGTCCTTAAGCCTGAGAGGTCATTATTGTCATCATCTGTGCCCTGTAATGAGGTGTTAGTAGGGGTGATATGTATTTCTTCTGGACTGGGAATTTAACTGCTGGTTTATGTTCTTCCAGAGCTCCCTCTTTGCCCACTAGCAGGGCATTAGCTGGTGCTGAAGACAGTGGCTGCTTGGCGAGCCTGGATCTCCAAGTGACCCCCTCAGCAACTCCTGATGAACAGGTAGCATGTAAAAGAAATCTTTTTGGTTTATACCAGTGAGATACGGGAGTTGTATATCATTGCAGCATAATCTAGGCTATAGATGATGCAATACTGCTACATTAGGGTCTTTGATTTCTAGTCAGGCCCTATGCCTAGGATAGCTTACTGCTGGCACACTCTTCAGCCAGTCTCTCAGCTCTGCACAGCACCAGATATGCCAGGATTTTGGCCTTTGATTCAGAGCTCTTTTCTGGAATTTTCTTCATGACCAGAGAATACCTCTGTCTTGCTTTGCTGACAAGAGGTATTAATCTAGAAATGGCTATAGTTATAGTTCATACAGGAAATGTGTTGCAAAAAATTGAGCTAATCTAGAGAAGAGAAAATAAAAGATGGGAAGTCTTAGTTGCATTCAAATCCCTGGTTCCAGTTGTACCTGAGGTGCAGTTACATTATTGTTCCTTTAGTTTGCTAAATAAGATAATGAATCCCCATGTTGACAAGGTTAAGTTAGATTTCTATAATTTTTCTAGGAATAACATAGTGTTTTTATTTGCCCAGATGTTATAGCTCACCTAAAAAAACCCTATCTATCCAGGGCTTTTGTTGCCTTTTTTTTTTTTTTTGAGACGGAGTCTCGTTCTGTTGCCCAGGCTGGAGTGCAGTGGCGTGATCTCAGCTCACCAGAACCTCAGCCTACGGGATTCAAGTGATTCTCCTGCCTCAGCCTCGCTGGTAGCTGGGACTACAGGCATGCACCACCACACCTGGCTAATTTTTGTATTTTTAGTAGAAATGGGGTTTCACTGTGTTGGCCAGGCTAGTCTCAAACTCCTGACCTCAGGTGATCTACCCGCGTAAGCCTCCCAAAGTGCTGGGATTACAGGCATGAACCACCATGCCTGGACTATTGCCATTTTCAGTGTTGTGTCCAGTGATGTTTCCTTCACACCAAGAAGTCTTCAGGGGATTCATATATGGATTGTGAAATCCTCTAGTGACATGGAAGTTTCTGTGTCATGCAGATAGAGAAATTGTGATGCCTGGATGCCTGAGGTTTTTTGGAGTGAGGTACTATGCATTTGCAAGTAATTGTAAACTGTATAATCCAGGATTAAAAGATAAACTATTGTTGCATTTAGAACTGTGTTTAGAATACAATAATTTGTTGTTGTTTTGTAATAGGACTGAAGCCAATATTAAAGCAAGTCAACCAAAGGTTCTCTGGTGTAGACAAGACAGCAAAAGGACAGACTACCTTGTGGAACCTAGCATTGTTCTCCTTCTGCAGCACTAAGTAACATTTGTTCTCCGTTAAGATCTTTGCAAACCACACACAAGAATTGCTGGTCATCCTGCCAATAGATGCTGCTCACAGAACCAAATTTCCTGTGCTGAATTGTCACTCATGGGCTTGAGAGTAGGAGACTGGAGACCAAGGTGGCTAGAATCCAGTTGGGCCTGATGTCTCCCTGTTGAAAGGGCTCCTTGTGGAATGAATAGCACATGGCTCCTGTGGTGGATCTGATAGTGGCATAGCACCAAGTGATGCAGGCCTGCCAGGGGCCACAGACACAGAAGATGCTCCCGGGGTCCCCCATGTACTCCAGACACACTGCAGGCCACCTCTCCCAGCAGGTTGCCAGTCATGGGCCCCATCATCATGACTTCTGTCCAAGGTGTGCTCGGAAATCTCTTCCTTAACTGTGACTTTCTGACAGGTGGAGGATGTGGTCAGGAGTGGGAAAAGGATTCGAGACGGGAAGAGGGAGGGGTTCAGGATGAAGAGAGATAATCTGTGCCACAGATGCTGGCCCTGCAGTTAGCTCCCACCTAGTCCGTGCACACACATTCTAATCCCCTCCCATTCCTTTACATGCTGCGGCCAGAGAGGCCTTTCTCAAAGTGGAAGTCTCATCCTCACTTCTCTGGTTACAGTGCTGGGCCATGGTAACTTACAAGGCTTAGCAGGAACTGTCTGCGCACTCCCCCTTCCTGCCCACTACCTTGTTTCCCTCCAGTTGCGAGAGAAAACATTGATTGAGCATTAACTATGTGCCAGGCTTGTCCTAAGTCCTTTGCATGTATTCACTCAAACAATCCTCACAACATTCCTATCACATCTCCCATTTCACAGTGAGGGTTCTAAAGCACGTAGTGGGTGAGGAACTTGTCCAGGGTCACACAACTAAGTGGGGGTGGAGAAACATCAAATCTAGGTGGTCCAGGTGGTGGCCAGAACCCATCAGCACCTCACTACAGCTGCCTCCAGTTTCTCGCTCTAGGAAATACTCTTCCCTGTCAACTCCTGTTGTCCTCTGGGCTCAGTTGACATGTCATCTCCTTGAGGAGGACATCCTGAGATGCTCCCCGACTAGGGTGGGCACCCACTTCCACACTCCAAATGCCTATTTGACCTGTGTATCGCTGCATCCCCACTGCCTGGCAGATAGCAGGCC
This sequence comes from Homo sapiens, assembly GCF_000001405.40. Lineage (NCBI taxonomy): Eukaryota > Metazoa > Chordata > Mammalia > Primates > Hominidae > Homo > Homo sapiens. Next base: position 1,623,194 of record NT_167244.2, on the reverse strand, counting down.
CCTAATAAATATGATTTGAGCAAATAAATATAGTTCTTCAAAAAATAGGGAGGACTTCTTGCTTCAGGTAATGGTAGGCTAGGACATTTGGACCAACCCTCCTGCAGAAAATAGCCATTTATTTTGATGCAATATATCTGGCTATGACTAGAGATTTCAAATATTTGGAGGGCTATTATGTGAAGAACTAAACTTACTCTTTGTGACATAGAGGTCAGAAATTGGTCGTTTCCATAGAGTATGAGAGAGACAGAATTGTGCTCATCATAAGTATCTTTTTTAAAAGTTAGACTTAATAAAATGGGCTGCCTTGGTAGGTGGTGAGTTCTCTGTCACGAAAGAGATTCAGCCACTTGCTCTGAGAAAGCATGGAGAATATCAACATTGTAAGGGTCGACCACCTCATCTCTGAGGCCCCCTCCTCACTTAGGTTGCCATTGCAGGTGGAACACTGGGCTGAGTGTCAAAGAACCTGGGTTCCACAAACTGTGCGACCATGGCTGGTTGTTTTGGATCTCATTCCTAATATCTGTTAGTTAAGCTGACCCGTCAATACTGACCCACTTCACAGAGTTATGAAGGGATTAAATTAGGTATTACATGTAAATCTGTTTTGTTTGCTTTTTGTTGTTCTTTTTTGTTTTGCTTTTTTCTTTGCATTATGAAATCCCAAGTCAACTTTTTCCATTCTTTTATTTTTTTAAAAATTGACATCATCATTATAACCACAAAATAATTTTTAAAATGGAAAAAAAAAACTCACCTGCAACCCCACAATCTAATACAATAATCATACTTTTTTCCCTTTATTCTCCTTTATTGTGACCAAGGATGACTTTGGGCATTGCTGTGAGGAACTATTTCGTTTAACACCCTACTACCTGAACATGATGCGTACTCAGCCTTTCACCACCCCCCAAGTAGCTACACATGATGTGATAATAGTATTGGTGGTGGTTTTAGAGAGTTGGAGAGAAAACTGAAGTTGGATTTGGGTAAAAGAAAAAAGAGTGGGAATTATTTTTTCTCCATTCTAAAGCCCATAAAGCAATGTTAATTGTTCCCACCCCTCTGCTATTCTGTCTCCTCAGGTACTGTGTGCAGAAATGTGATTGAGATTCAAGTCAGGGCCTCTCTGCCCTTTTCCCTCCAGAAACAAAACCAAGATAATTTATCCTGAACACGGTGAAAAAAGGAAGGGAGGGAGGAGAAAAAGTCCGGGTCTCACCTGGGATTCTCTGTCTCCTGCAACATGAAGGATTTAGCCTGGGAGGAGGTGGTGAGAACTCTGGGAGAGAAAAAAGAAGGAAAGAATAGTTTTACCCATGCTGAAGTTAATTTAAACCTTCACCTAGAGAAGCAAAAAAAAAAAACCCACACTTTCCCATTTTGTGCCTCCCTTCCTAGAGTTTTAGCCAAAGGTTTAGCTAAGTAATTGGTTTTACCAGCGCACTCACTCCTCCTATCCCAAGTCTGTTTGACTCCCTCCCCATCATCCTCCTCACCTCTTTTCAGGCAGGGTGGGGATAGCAGCAGGAGGAGATTTTGGGAGCCTGGCAACTCCTGCAAGGACCGCAGGACAGCCCCTCTGTGGGGATGCGTGGTGCCCCATCTGCCGCCCTTCTGAAGAATGCACTGCCTTCACTTTTTACTGTGTTAGAGTCCATCCAGACTGTTCTATCCAAAAAAGTTTCTTTTTCCCCCACAGGCAATCAGGAAATGATTCCTTTCCCGACTGCTTCTGTCTAGTGCCTGGGAATCTTGAGTCAATCCCTCAGTAAGTCAGTGACTAGGGAAATCCCTCTCTGAGCCTCCCAGTTCATGTTGCTTAGGGAACCTGATATTTTCGTGAAACCTGCCTACACATGGGCAGCCCAACAGCAGAACAAATGGTGGTGACCAAAGTGAACAAAGAAGTATAGTTGTGCCAGCTTCGTAGTTGCCCATGTGGACAAGTCAGCAGGATCAGGACACGAGGAAGAGTAAATGTGAGACAGTCAATGTGACTTCTGCGATAAACAGATTTTTAAACCCCGAAATTTTGCAAAATTTTGGTGAAACCTGAACTTTCTTCGTTGCATATACTGGCACTATCTGTACCATCATACAACTGTCTCACATTAAAGCTATTTTTCTTGGGCACTGATGAGTAAGGTTGGTATAAGTTCCTCAGATCAACAAAAACCCATTTTCCTGTAAGTCTTACATTTAGTATTTAAGGAACTAAAACTTAAATACATTTTGTGAAATGGTTGACACTTCACTGATAATGATTTATTGCTTGGATTAATAAATTTTCCAAAAGTTGTCTTATGTAGAATATGGTTTGCAACCAGCAGAACCATTAATCTATACTGCAATGATATGCACTATGTATAATTGTTTAAAAGCCTCTACTTAATGATGTAAAATGCTCTATTTAATTACACATTTGGGTAAACTGTATACTAACATCTGATGGCATTTTTCCACTGTTTGTTGCTTTTTTCAAATACTTTATTGTACAAAGCTGTTCTTAATATTTTTCAAGTTTTTTTCTTTGAATTTTGCTAATGTTTTCCTTGAATTATGAGCACTGACAGAATGTGCTTAGCACTTTTGGCTATTCACACAGCTTTTGAGCATGATTTGCATCCAATATTTACATTGCTAGCAATAATAAGCCATCTGTGAGTTTTGTCAAAAGTTATTGGGGATTTTTTAAATTTTAGAAATGCAAATTATTGTTTCTTTGAACTAACTCTTATGCAGTTGCAAAGGCATTTCCAGTTGTTATAGTTTGTGTACAATATCAGGTGTTCCAGATTATGATTCATTATTAATATCATTGCTTCCTTGTTCCCTCTGAGGTCCAGAAGATTCATGTTTACAATATTTAGAAACAATGTTAAAAAGGTATCCAAAGTTTGTCACTTTATTATTAGTTTGTTCTTAATATTCTGTTTAAGTTTTTGAATTCATAGATATCAAAACGCTGCACAATTATGATTTCCACAGGAATAACAACACACTAACAATAAGAACCAAAAACAGCAAATAGGCTGCCTACAAGTTTTGACAATATTAGGATAATGATAATGACAGTTTTTCTAAATCTCACAGTAAAGAATGCAGCAACCCAGCAACACTGCTACCTGTGGCCTCAGGCTGCAGTGTCAGCTCTTCCCTGGGTCTCCAGCCTGCCAGTCTAACCTGAAAATTATGTACTTGCCAGCCCCCACAGTCACGTGAGTGAACTGGCCCAGGCTGGTCACCAGGGTCAGTTTCTCTGTGTGTCATTAATTCATTCAGTCTTCAGCAGTCTCTTTGGAGCTGAGATGTACCTACCATCTGCCTTTTGGGTGCTTAGGGTGGAGAACCAGAAAAGTATAACCTAGTGTGTATCCTCAAAGAGCTAACAATATGGGGTGGTACCTATAGGTCTGGAAACACTTTACTGACTCTGTGAGGCATACCAGGAGACGTCAGAGAACAGTCCCTCCTCAAATGCCAAATGAGATGCAGAAGAAATAGTTTGCTCAAGTTCATGGGCCAGATATCCCAGTGGTCAGGGAGTTTCATGAATGAGATGGAACTTTGCATGGAACCCGAGGGATGTGTATGATTTGAGTAGATGAAGAAAATGAGACTTTCCAAGCAGCTAGAAGTTAGGGAGCAGCAAGATGTGTGGTGGGATTGAGCACAGTTGGTTCAGAGGATAGACTGCAGTTTTAATAATTTGTAGTAAATATCTCCCAACTGTTTGGCACTATTGGAGCAAGTTCTTGAATGCCAAATGAAGGCATAAATCAGTAAGAGGCATAATAAAAGGCTGAGCAGTGCTTGGCTTTTTACGAACTGATCCTGATAGGAGCAGCTGTTCAACAAAGTTGCCAGGTCACCGTTACATAGTCCCTGCCTTCTAGGGGCTCACTGCCTACTGGGAGAGACAGTCTGAAAGTTGGTGGAGCATGTAACTGTTGGATGAGGAGTTTGAGCCTGTGGACTGTGGGACCCCCGAGGAGGGTGTGGCTACTCTAGGCAGAACAATCCCACAGTTTATTTATATTTAACCTTGAAATTCATTAGAGGATTTTTCAGCAGAGGTTTGGTACTTGTTAATGTTAAGGTTTGCATTCTCTAGAACCTCAAGGAAAGCTGTACCGTGCATAATGTACCCTCTTATGTTAATGTTGTGTACTGTGATCCTGTTTCAGGGACTTGCACTTAGGAATCTGTTACAGTGAGCACAGAAGCAGACCTGTGGGCTCATAGTCTTCACCCCCCACCCATATATACAAGATGAACAGAGTGGAGGTTAAACAACTTGACTAAACAACACAGTTCATGGTAAAGCCCAAGACTGTACCTGCCCATCCACTGCCTTTTCCATGTATCCTGGAACTGAGCATAGACCTCTTCCCAGGCAGAGCTGACAGCAAGTAAAGGAGATCATAATCAGGGGACCAAACAACTTTGTCTAAAGTGTGAATGTCACCTAAGGAGAAGCTGTGAGATCAGAAGGGTGGGGCAGAGGAGCAGACACCATGAGGGAGAGTCCTTGGGGGTACATCTGCCAGACTGACACTGTCTGGCCTGGGCAGTGGAGGGGCTAGCAGGAACCACAGGTACTGGTGGTGTGGCTACTACCGTTACAACTGCCTGTGCTTGGACATGGACCCTCTGCAATATGCGGCAGTTTCATTCATTGCCCCCTACATTCTACACCAAGTAGAAATGGAAGGCAATTGGATACTTCACAGACAAGATCTAAGTGGAGAAGGAATGCGTCCTGTGGCTGCAGAGATCCTTGGAGCTTGGAGGGGAGAGCTTGAGCCCCACTGATGATGACCTCCCACAGCTCGCCAACTCAGCCCTCCCTAAGTCCCCATCGGGGGCCAATTCTCACTCTGGGGTTGGGGGGACTCCACCATAGCTCATCCATCATAGGGATGTTGGTATCTACTGTGGGTTGGGTAGGGCCGATGTGCTGAGGATGGCTCCCCCACAAGCAAGAGATGTGGATTTGGGGAGCTTCCCATCTTGTGTTGAAGGAACATAACTCAGAATAATAAGAGCCAACTATAACAAACCCACAGCCAACATCATACTGAATGGGCAAAAGCTGCAGGCATTCCCCTTGAAAAGTGGCACAGGATAAGGAAGCCCTTTCTCACCACTCCTATTCAATATAGTGTTGAAAGTCCTGATCACAGCAGTCAGGCAACAGAAATAATAAAGGGCATCCAAATAGGAAGAGAGGAAGTCAAACTATCCTTGTTTGCAGACAGTATGATTCTATATCTAGAAAACCCCATAGCCTCAGCCCAAAAGGTCCTTCATCTGATAATTTCAGCAAAGTTTCAGGAGACAAAATCAGTGTACAAAAATCACTAACATTCCTATACACAGTCGCCAAGCCAAGAGCCAAATCAGGAGCACAATCCCATTCATAATTGCCACAAAAAAGAATAAAATACCCAGGAATGCAGCTAACCAAGGAAGTAAAGGATCTCTACAATGAGAATCACAAACGCTGCTCAAAGAAATCAGAGATGACACAAACAAATGGAAAAACTTTCCATGCTCATGGCTAGGAAGAATCAATATCATTAAAGTGGCCATACTACCCAAAGCAATTTATAGATTCAATGCTATTCCTATCAAACTATCAATTACATTTTTCACAGAACTAGAAAAAACTTAAAATTCATATGGAACCAAAAAGCCTGAGTAGTCAAGGCAATCCTAAACAAAAAGAACAAAGGTGGAGGCATCACATTACCTAACTTCAAACTACAGGGCTACCATGACCAAAACAGCATGGTACTGGTACAAAAGCAGACACACAGACCAGTGGGACAGAATAGAGAGCCCAAAAATAAGGCCACAAACCTACAGCCATCTGATCTTCAACAAAGTTGACAAAAACAAGCAATGGGGAAAGGTCTCCCTATTCAATAAATGGTGCTGGGATAACTGGCTGGCCATATGCAGAAGATCGTAACTGGACCCCTTTTACTATGTACAAAAATTAAGATGGTTTAAAGAGTTAAAACCCAAAATTATAAAAATCCTGAAGATAACTTAGGCAATACCATTCTGGACATAGGAACTGGCAAATATTTCATGATGAAGACACCAAAAGCAATTGTAACAAAAGCAAAAATGGACAAATTGGATTTAAGAGCTTTTTCATAGCAAAATAAACAACAGGGCAGACAATCTACCAAATGACAGAAAATTTTTGCAAACTATGCATCTGACAAGGGGCTAATATCTAGCATCTATAAGGAATTTAAACACAGTTACAGGAAAAAAAAAACCCACTCCATTAAAAAATGGGCAAAGGACATGAACAGACACTTTTCAAAAAAGACATACATACAGCCAACTAGCGTGTTAAAGAAAACCTCAATTATCACTGATCATTAGAGAAATGCAAAATCAAAACCATGATGAGATATCATCTGCCAGTCAGGATGGCTACAAAAAAGTAAAAAAATAATAGATGTTGGTGAGGTTATGGAGAAAAGGAACTTATACACTTGTTAGGAGTGTAAATTAGTTCAATCACTGTGGACAGCAGTGTGGTGATTCCTCAGAGAGCTAAAAACAGAACTACCATTTGACTCACCAATCCCATTACTGGATATTTACCTAAAGGAATATAAATCATTCCACCATAAAGACACATGCAAGTGTATGTTCATTGCAGCACTATTAACAGTAACAAAGCTGGGCACAGTGGCTCACCTCACGACTGTAATCCCAGCACTTTGGGAGGCTGAGGTAGGCGGATCACCTGAGGTCGGCAGTTTGAGACCAGCCTGACCAACATGGAGAGACCCCATCTCTACTAAAAATACAAAATTAGCCAGGTGTGGTGGCTCATGCCTGTAATCCCAGCTACTTGGGAGGCCAAGGCAGGAGAATTGCTTGAACCCAGGAGGCAGAGGTTGCAGTGAGCCGAGATCACACCATTGCACTCTAGCCTGGTGAAGGAGCAAGACTCCATCTCAAAAAAAAAAAAAAAAAAAAAGAAAGAAAGAAAAATACACATTCAGAGGAGACAAAAAATAAAAAACAATGATGCATGCCCACAGGATCTAGAAAATAACTTCTTAAGGGCAAATCTAGGAGTTATTGGCCTTAAAGAAGAGATAGAGAAAGAGATAGGAATAGAAAGTTTGTTGAAAGGGATAATAACATAGAACTTCCTAAACCTACAGAAAGATATTTATATCCAAGTACAAGAAGGTTATAGAACACCAGGCCAATTTAACCCAAAGATTACCTCAAGGCATTTAATAATCAAACTCCCACAGGACAAGGGTAAAGAAAGGATCCTAAAAGCAGCAAGAGAAAAGAAACAGATAACATACAATGGAGCTCCAATACATCTGGCAGTATATTTTTCAGTGGAAACCTTACAAGCCAGGAGAGAGTGACATGACATATGTTAAAGTGCTGAAGGGAAAAAACCTTTTACCCTAGAATAGTATATCCAGCAAAAATATCCTTCAAACATGAAGAATAAACAAAGACTTCCCCAGACAAACAAAAGCTGAGGGATTTCATCAACACTAGACTGGTCCCATAAGAAACGCTTAAGGGAGTACTTTGGTCAGAAAGAAACAGACATTAATGAGCAACAAAGAATCATCTAAAGGTAAAAAACTCACTGTTAAGAGTAAGTACACAGAAAAACCCAAAGTGTGATAACATTGTAACTGTGGTGTGTAAGTAGAAAGAATAAATGATAAACCAATCAAAAATAGTAACTACAACTTTTCAAGACCAGTCAGAAAAATAAGATAAAATTAGAAACAACAAAAAGTTAAAAAGTGGGGGGATGAAGTTAAGATGTAGAGTTTTTATTAGTTTTTTGTTTGTTAATGCAAACAGTGTTACCAGGTTAAAATAATGGGTTACAAAATAGTATTTGTAATCCTTATGGTAACCTCAAACCTAAAAACATACACTGGATACATAAAAAATAAAAAGCAAAAACCTAAATCATATCACCAGAGCAAACTACCTTCCCTAAAGGAAGACAGGAAGAAAAGAAAGAAGAAGACCACAAAACAACCAGAAAACAAATAAATAACAAGGCAGGAGTAAGTCTTTACTTATCGATAATACATTGAATGGAAATATGGACTAAACTCTCCAATCAAAAGACATAGACTGGCTGAATGAATGGAGAAAACAAGACCCATTGATCTGTTGCCTACAAGAAACACACTTAAACTATAAAGACACACATAGGCTGAAAGTAAAGAGTTGGAAAGAGTTATTCCATGCCAATGGAAACCAGGAAAAAGAGAAGGAGTATTGATTTTGATACAAAAACTATGAGACAAATAAAGTCACTATACAATGATAAAGGGGTTAATATGGTTTCCATTTGTGCCCCACCCAAATTTCGTGTTCTATTGTAATCCTCAATGTTGGAGGTGGGGCCTGGTGGGACGTGATTAGATCATGGGGGTGGATCTTTCATGACTAATTCAGCACCATCTTCTTAGTGCTGTTCTCATGATAGTGAGTTCTTCTGAAATCTGGTTGCTTAAAAGTGTGTAGCACCTCTCCACACCACCCGCTTGCCTTGGTCTACTCCTGCTATGTAGATGCTTGCTCCCACTTTGCATTATTCCATGAGTAAAAGCTCCCTCAGGCCTTCCCAGAATCAGATGCCGCTATGCTTCCTGAACAGCCTGTGGAACTATGAGCCAATTCAACCTCTTTTCTTCATAAATTAACAAGTCTTGGGTATTTCTTTATAGCAGTGTGAGAACAGAATAATACAGAAAATTGGTAAAGAGGAGTGAGGCATTGCTAGAAAGATACCTGAAAATGTGGAAACAGCAGTGGAACTGGGAAATAGACAGAGGTTGGAAGAGTGTGGAGGGCTCCGAAGATAGGAAGATGAGGGGAAGTTTGGAATTTCTTAGAGATTTGTTAAATTGTTTTGACCAAAATACTGATAGTGATATGGACAATGAAGTCCAGGCTGAGGAGGTCTCAGATGGAGATGAGGGACTTATTGGGACCTGGAGTGAAGGTCACTTTTGTTAGGACATTGTGGTTGGAGACATTGTGCCCCTGCCCTAGGAATCTGTGGAACTTTGAACTTGAGAGCGAAGATTTAGGGTATCTGGCAGAAGAAATTTCTAAGCAGCAAAGCGTTCAAGACGTGGCCTGGCTGCTTCTGGTAGTCTGTGCTCATATTTGTGAGCAAAGACATGACAAGAAACTGGAACTTATATTTAAAAAGGAAGCAGAGTGTAAAAGTTTGGAGAATTTGCAGCCTGGCCATGTTGTAGAAAAGAAAAAAACCATTTTCTGGAGAGGAATTCAAGCTAGCTGCAGAAAATTGCAAGTAACAAGGAGCAAAATGTTGATAGCCAAGATAGTGGGAAAAACACCTTGAAGGCATTTCAGATACCTTGGGGGCAGCCTCTCCCATCACAGGCCCAAAGGCCTAGGAGGGAAGGATGGTTTCCTGGGCCAGGCTCAGGGTCCTGCTGCCCTGCACAACCTCAGGAAACTGCTCTCCAAATCCCAGCTGCTCCAGCTCCAGCTTCAGCTCAAAGGGCCCCAGGTATAGCTCAGGCTGCTGCTCCATAGGATGCAAGTTATAAGCCTTAGTGGCTCCCGTGTGGTGTTAAATTAAGCCTGTAGGTGCACAGAGTGCAAGAATTGAGGCTTGGGAGCCTCCAACTAGATTTCAGAGTATGTGTGGGAAAGCCTGGATGTCCAGGCAGAAGCCAGCTGCAGGGACAGAGCCCTCATGGAGAACCTCTACTAGGGTAGTGTGGAGGGGAAATTTGGGGTTGGAGTTCCCACACAGCTTCCCCTCTGGTGTACTGCCTAGTGGAGCTGTGAGAAGACAGCCACTGTCCTCCAGATTCCAGGATGATAGATCTGCCAATGACAGCTTGCACTGTACAACTGGAAAAGCCACAGGCAGTCAATGCCAGCCCGTGAAAGCAGTGACAGTGGCTTACCCTGCAAAGTCCCAGGGGCTGAGCTGCCCAAGGCCTTGGGAGCCCACCCCTTGCACCAGTGTGCCCTGGATGTGAGATATGGAGTCAAAGGAGAGTATTTTGGAGCTTTAAGATTTAATGACTACCTGCTGGGTTTCAGACTTGCATGGGTCCAGTAGCCCCTTTCTTTTGGCCAATTTCTCACTTTTGGAATGGGAGTGTTTACCCAATTCCTGTACCCCCACTGTATGTTGGAAGTAACTAACTGTTTTTTTATTTTGTAAGCTCACAGGTGGGAGAGACTTGCCTTGTCTCAGGTTGAGACTCTGGACTTTGGACTTTTGAATTAATGCTGGAATGAGTTAAGACTTTGAGGGACTGTTGGGAAGATATAACTGTATTTTGCAGTATGAGAAGGACATGAGATTTGGGAGACACCAGAGGTGGAATAATATGATTTGGATCTGCATCCCCACCAAAATCTCATGTTCAATTGTAATCCTAAATTTTGGAGGTTGAGCCTGGTGGAAGAGGATTGGATAATGGGGGTGGTTTCTCATGGTTTAACACCATCCCCCTGGGTGCTGTTCTCATGACAGTGAGTGAGTTATTGTGAGATCTGATTGTTTAAAAGTGTGTGCCACCTCCTCCCACTTTCCTCCTGCTCCAGCCATGTAAGACAGGCTTGCCTCCCCTTCACCTTTTGTCATGATTGTAAGTGTTCTGAGGCCTCCCCAGCCATGCTTCCTGTACAGCCTGCAGAACTGTGAGCCAATTAAACCTCTTTTCTCTATATATTACCCAGTCTCGGGTATTTCTTTATAGCAGTGCAAGAATAGACTAATACAGGGTTCAATTCAGCAAGAGGATATAACAAATATAAATATATATGCACTCAACACTGCAGCACCCAGATATATAAAGCAAATACGATTAGAGCTAAAGAGAGAGAGTGACCCCAATACAATAATAGCTGGAGACTTCAACACCACATTTTCAGCACTGGACAGATCTTCCAGACAGAAAATAAAAAAGAAACATCAGACTTAATCTGCACTGTAGATCAAATGGATCTAATACATACTTGCAGAACATTTTATCCAATGGCTGCAGAATACACATTCTTTTTTAGCACATGTATCATTCTCAAGGATAGACCATATGTTAGGTCACAAGTCTTAAAACATTAAAAAAGTTGAATACCATCAAGCATCTTCTCTGACCACAGTGGAATACAACTAGAAACTAATAACAAGAGGAATTTTTGAAACTACAAATACATGAAAATTAAACAATATGCTCCTGAATGACCATTGAGTCAATGAAGAAATTAAGAAGGAAATTGAACAATTTCTTGAAACAAATGATAAAGGAAACACAACATACCAAAACCTATGGGATACGGCAAAAGCAGTACTAAGAGGCAAATTGATAGCTATAAGTGCCTACATGAAAAAAGAGGAAAAACTTCAAATAAGCAATTTAACAATGAACCTTAACCAGAAAAGCAAGAGCAAAACAAACACAAAATTAGAAGAAAACAAATAATAAAAATTAGAGCATAAATAAATAAAATTGAAATAAAAATCAATGCAAAAGAACAATGAAACAAAAAGTTGCTTTTTTTCAAAAGTTAAACAAAACTGACAAGCCTTTAGCAAGACTGAGAAAAAAGAGACAAGATACAAATCAGAAATGAAAAAGACATTACAACTGACACTGCAGAAATTCAAAGGATCATTAGGGGCTACTATGAGCAACTCTATGCCAATAAATTGGAAAATCTAGAAGAAATTGACAATTCCTAGACACATACAACCTACTGAGACTGGACCAGGAAGAAATCCAAAACCTGAACAGACTAATAACAAGTAACAAGGTTGAAGCCATAATAAAAAGTCTCCCACTAAAGAAAACCAAGGACCCGATGGCTTCACTGTTGAATTCTACCAAACATTTAAAGAAGAACTAATACCAATCCCACTCAAGCTATTGAAAAATAGAGGAGGAGAGAATATTTCCAAAGTCATTCTAGGAGACCAGTATCACCCTGATACCAAAACCAGACAAAGACACATCAAAAAAAGAAAACTGCTGGCCAATTTCTCTGATGAATATTGATGCCAGAATCCTCAGCAAAATATTAGCAAACTAAATTCAACAATACATTAAAAAGATCATTCATCAGGGTCGGGTGCAGTGGCTTAAGCCTCTAATCCCAGCACTTTGGGAGGCCGAGGTGGGCAGATCACCTGAGGTCAGGAGTTCAAGACCAGCCTGACCAACATGGTGAAACCTCGTCTCTACTGAAAATACAAAGTTAGCCGAGTGTGGTGGTGCATGCCTGTAATCCCAGCTACTCAGGAGACTGAGGCAGGAGAATCACTTGAACCCAGGAGGTGGAGGTTGCAGTGAGCTGAGATTGTGGCACTGCACTCCAGCCTTGGTGACAGAGTGAGACTCCATTAAAAAAAAAATCATTTATCATGACCAAGTGGGATTTATCCCTGGAATGCAAGGATGGTTCAACACATGCAAATCAATCAATGTAATACATCATATCAAAAAGAATGATTAAAACCATATGATTATTTCTATTGATGCTGAAAAAGTAGTTTATAAAATCCAACATCCCTTCATGATAAAAACCCTCAAAAAACTGTATAAAAGAAATATACCTCAACGTAATAGCCAGATATGACAGACCCACAGCTAGTATCATACTGAATGGGGAAAAAGTGAAAGACTTTCCTATAAGATCTGGAACACAACAGGGATGTTCACTGTCACCACTGTTATTCAACAAAGTACTGGATGTTCTAGCTAGAGCGATCAGACAAGAGAAGATATAAAGGCCATCCAAACTGGAAAGGGAGAAGTTAAATTACCCTAGTTTGCAGATGATATGAACTTATATTTGGAAAAAACCTAAAGGCTCCACAGGAAAACTATTAGAATCAATAAATTCAGTAAAGTTGCAGGACACAAAATCAACATATAAAAACCAGTAGCATTTCTATATGTCAACAGTGAACAATTTGAAAAATTTTAAATTTAAGAAGGTAATTTCATTTACAATAGCCACACATAAAATTAAATACCTAGGAATTAACCAAAAATGTGCAAGATATCTATGAGGAGAATTATAAAACATTGATGAAAGAAATTGAAGAGGACACAAAAAAAATGGAAAAAATTCCATCTTTATGGATTGGAAGAATCAATATTGTTAAAATGTCCATACTACCCAAAGCAATCTACAGATTTAATGCAATCCCTATCAAAATACCAATAATAGTCTTCAGAGAAATAGAAAAAAAAATCCCAAAATTTATATGAAAACACAGAATGCCCAGAATAGCCAAAATTATATTAAGCAAAAAGATCAAAACTGGAGGAATCACATTACCTGACTTCAAATTATGCTACAGAGCTATAATCACCAAAACAGCATGGTACTGACATAAAAACAGACACATAGTCCAACAGAACAGAATAGAGAACCTAGAAACAAATCCACACACTCACAGGGAACTCATTTTTGACAGAGTTGCCAAGTACTTATACTGGAGAAAAGAAAAGACAGTCTCTTCAATGAAATGGTGCTGGGAAAACTGGATATCCATATGCAGAAGAATGAAACTAGACCCCTACCTCTCACTGTAGACAAAAGTCAAATCAAGGCTAGGCATGGTGGCTTACACCTGTAATCTCAGCACTTTGGGAGGCTGAGGCAGGCGTATCACGAGGTGAAGAGATTGAGACCATCCTGACCAACATGGTGAAACTCACCCCCCCCCACCCACTAAAAATACAAAAATTAGCTGGGCGTGATGGCATGTGCCTGCAGTCCTAGCTACTCAGGAGGCTGGGGCAGGAGAATCGCTTGAACCCAGGAGGTGGAGGTTGCAGTGAGCTGAGATTGTGCCACTGCACTCCAGCCTGGCGACAGAGCAAGACTCCATCTCAAAAAATAAAAAATAAATTCAAAATGTAATAAAGACTTAAATCTAAGACCTCAAACATGAAACTACTATAAGAAAACATTGGGGAAAACCTCCAGGACAGTAGTCTGGCCAAAAATTTCTTGAGCAATACCCCACAAGCACAGGCAACCAAAATAAAACTGGACAAATAGTATCACATCAAGTTTAAAAGCTTCTACAAAGCAAAGGATACAATCAATAAAGAGACAACCCACAGAATGGGAGAAAATATTTGCAAACTACCCATCTGACAAAGAAATAATAACCAGAGTATATAAGAAGCTCAAACAACTCTATAGTAAAAAAAAAAAAAAAAAAAAAAATTCTAAAAGTCTAAGTAAAAAAATGGGCAAAAGATTTGAATAGACATTTCTCAAAAGAAGACATACAGGCCATGCGTGGTGGCTCATGCCTGTAATCCCAGCACTTTGGGAGGCTCAGGCGGGTGGATCACTTGAGGTCAGGAGTTCGAGACCAGCCTGACCAACATTGTGAAACTCCGTCTCTACTAAAAATACAAAAATAAGCCAGGCATGGTGGCGCACACCTGTAATCCCAGCTACTCAGGAGGCTGAGGCAGGAGAATCGCTTAAACCTGGGAGACAGAGGTTGCAGTAAGCCGAGATCACACCACTGCACTCCAGCCTGGGCAACAAAGTGAGACTCCGTCTCACAAAAAAAAAAAAAAAAAAAAAAAAAAGAAAAAGGAAGAAGACATACAAAGCCAGGTACAGTGGCTTATGCCTCTAATCCTAGCACTTTAGGAGGCCAAGGCAGATGGAATTGAGCCCAGAAGTTTGAGACCAGACTGAGCAATATGGTCAAACCCCAATTCTGCAAAATACAAAAATAAAAAATAGCTGGGAGTGGTGGTGCACACCTGTAGTCCCAGCTACTTAGGAAGCTGAGATGGGAGGATCACTTGAGCCTGCAGTGAATCATAATTGCACCAATGCACTCCAGCCTGGGCGACAGAGTGAGAGACATTGTCTCAAAAAAAAGAAAAAGAAAAAAAAGAAAGGACATAAAAATGACAAACAGGCATATGAAAAGGTGCTGATGATTATTGATCCTCAGAGAAATGCAAATCAAAACTGCAATGAGATATAATCTCACCCCAGTTAAAATGGCTTATATCCAAAAGACAGGCAATAACAAATGCTGGTGAGGATGTGGATAAAAGGGAACCCTCGTACACTGTTGATGGGAATGTAAATTAGTACAACCACTATGGATAACAGTTTAGAGGTTCCTCAGAAAACTAAAAATTGAGTTGCGATATGATGCAACAATCCTACTGCTGGGTATATACCCCACAAAAGACAAAACCAGCGTTTTGCATGGTGGCTCACACCTGTAATCCCAGCACTATGGGAGGCCGAGGAGGGCAGATCACTTGAGCCCAGAAGTTCAAGACCAGCCCGAGCAACATGGCAAAACCTGATTTCTACAAAATACAAAAAAAAAATTAGGCAGTTGTAGTGGTTCACACCTATAGTCCTAGCTACTGTGGAGGCTGAGGTAGGATCACTTGAACCTAGGAGGTGGAGGTTGCAGTGAGCCAAGATCATGCCACTGCACTCCAGCCTGGGTGACAAAGTGTGACCCTGTCTCAAAAAAGAAAATCAGTATATGGAAGAGATATCTGCACTCCTATGTTTTTTACAACACTGTTTACAATAGCTAAGATTTGGAAGCAACCTAAATGTCTAACAGCAGATGAATGGATAAGGAAAATTTGGTATGTATACACAATGAAGTACTATTCAGCCATAAAAAGGAATGAGATCCAGTCATTTGCAACAGCATGGATGGAAGTGGAGATCATTATGTTAAATGAAATAAGCCAGGCACAGAAAGGCAAACATGGCATGTTCTCACTTATTTGTGGGACCTAAATTCAAAACAATTGAACTAATGGACATAAAGAGTAGAAGAATGGTTACCAGAGGCTAGGAATGGTAGTGGGGGGCTGAAGGGAAGGTGGGGATGTTTAATCGGTAAAAAAAAATTTAGAAGAATAAGACCTACTATTTGATAGCACAATAGGGGGACTATAGTCAATAATGCACATTTAAAAATAGTGTAATTGAATGGTTTGTAACTCAAAGGATAAATGCTTGAGGGAATGGATACCCCATTCTCCATGATGTGCTTATTTCACATTGCATACCTGTATCAAAACATCTCATGTACCCCATAAATATATGCAGCTATTATGTACCCACAAAAATTGAAAATCAAAAATAAAATATTTTTTAAAATGTATTATTATTTGTCCTCTGTGAATAAAACTCGCTTCTGGCCCTCCTTTTTATAGGTATTTAAAAGAATGCATTTAGGCAGATCAATGGCATTATATAATATACAAAAACAATAAATCTTTTTTTTTTAAACATATCACATTCAGCACAGCTGCTGAAGTTGGGGCTAATTATAGGTTACATTTTCATTAATCCACTGTCATCTGTTATCATCCATCCAATTTTTGCTAGAACTGGAGTGGTAAATTCAATAGTTGATGATGAAACCACAACCCCTGCATCTTTTATGTCTTTGAGTGACAGTTTATTTCATTGCCCCTCAAATACTACATTGTTTTAAAATTTCTATCTTGGTCGATATTAGAAGCTCTCTTAGGGGCATCCACTTGGCCTTTCTTACTACAAATCCTTTATTCCACAGGTGAAATGACTAAAGTGTGAGTGAAATAACTAATGTACAAAATAAATCCATCAATTACATATTTGGAAACCAGAAAAATAACCACCAAGCAGATGTGTGGACACAGAGAATCCACGGAGATACGGGTGGACCTGAGACAGGAAATTATTTTCAGTTCCCTGTGTGGCTCTCCTCTAATAGAAGTCCATGAGGGTGCTTTGGTTCCCCAGGTATCAGTGTGAAATTGGACCCTGTATCCAATAGACCTGAAAATATCTGGACATTCCCCTTTATCAGTGTCTTGATACCTGAGTAAA
>NT_167244.2:1394223-1501665 GCF_000001405.40 Homo sapiens | reverse complement strand
GGCCAGGATGGTCTCGAACTCCTGACCTCGTTATCTGCCTGCCTCAGCCTCCCACAGTGCTGGGATTATAGGCATGAGCCACTACTCCCAGCCTGCAGTTTCTTTCTTTTTTTTTTTGAGATGGAGTCTGGCTCTGTCGCCCAGGCTGGAGTGCAGTGGCACAATCTCGGCTCACTGCAAACTCCGCCTCCCGGGTTCACGCCATTCTCCTGACTCAGCCTCCGGAGTAGCTGGGACTACAGGCACCCACCACCACACCCGGCTTCATTTTTGTATTTTTTAGTAGAGACGCGGTTTCACTGTGTTAGCCAGGATGGTCTCGATCTCCTGACCTCATGATCTGCCTGCCTTGGCCTCCCAAAGTGCTGGGATTACAGGTGTGAACCACTGTGCCTGGCCTGCAGTTTCAATTTATAAGGACAAATGCTTCCCCTTCATGTCTTTCATTCGAGTTCTAGACTATCCTCTTCAGAAACCTTTCTTGATTTATAGACAGATAAAAATCTGTTAAGAATCCCATTGTCTATTCAGTTAAGGCTCAAATTTCAGCCTGCTTTGGAAGGCCTCAACTCAGTTGGCCCCATCATACTTTTCACTTCTCCCTCACTTAATCTGACTCTTCCAGAAAGGTAGCTACCTTCATTCTATGTCCCCTTCTTATCAGTCTTCCTACTCCTATCTTCCCCAGCACCTATGCCCACCTGCCAACACATATACCAAGTTTATTATTACATTCATTTATCTAATTGTAACTAGTGTGTCCCCACCCCCTACCAAGTGGAATGTTTAGCTCCTTTCTGACAATCTAAATCTTACTTAGCTGGGCGTGGTGATGGGTGCCTGTAGTCCCAGCTACTCAGGAGGCTGAGGCAGGAGAATCACTTGAACCCAGGAGGTGAAGGTTGCAGTGAGTTGAGATC
Source organism: Homo sapiens (assembly GCF_000001405.40). Lineage (NCBI taxonomy): Eukaryota > Metazoa > Chordata > Mammalia > Primates > Hominidae > Homo > Homo sapiens. The sequence continues at coordinate 1,500,745 of NT_167244.2, read as the reverse complement.
GCGCCACTGCACTCCAGCCTGGGTGACAGAGGGAGATGCCATCTCAAATAAATAAATAAATATAAAATAAAATAAATCTTTACGTTTCCTTCAAGGCCAACATCAAAAGCCTCTTCTTTGAAGGCTTCTCTGACTAAACACTAGCTGTTTCCAGAATTCTTGTGGCATCCAATCTGACTGGAAGATTTAACATCAGATTATTTGTTGTAATTATAAATGTACAGATCTTAATATTCCATTATATGGTCTGTGCATATTATAGACCCCTGCCCACTGCACTTTGGGGCTTAAAACCTATTGGTTGGCTAATTCAGTTATTAAAGAATTCAGTAAATGAGAATAACACCTTGTCTCTCTTGACTCTTGGTCCAAATCTCTTGCAAATAGGCCACACCGTAGTCATAGAGCAAGAGGACTCAGATACAGTTTGGTTGGTCCTTTACCTTCAAAAGTTCAAGTGCTGGCTGCCGAGACTTCTCCAACTCAGTGATCAGGGTCCCAAGCTGGACCACCTCCTCAGAACCCTTGATGACACGGCTGTTCCTCCTTTTGGTGAGTTCTTGCTCTAGCCCTACCAGCTGCTCCAACAGGTACTGTTCCCTTTCTCTCAAAAACCGATGGCCCTATTCAAACACTGATACAATGTCTTGCCTGTGGTTCTGAAATGTTGTCTACAGTAAATGCAGAAAGAGAAAAGTGACCTTTTTGAGAGGCTAGGGAACACCAGAACATGTGTGAGATCTTCTGAGGATGAGTTCAGAACAGAAATCTCTTTGATCACTCTCCCCCTCCCCATTCCTCAATACTTCCCCCACACACATACCCCTTCCTCTCCTTAACCTATGCCCCGCTACTACCTACACACACACCCCTGCCCTACACACATACACACATTCATACAGAACATTTACTAGAGACCTCTCTTACCACCAGGGCCTGAATCTCATCTTCTCCCATAGATTGAGAATTCTGAATGCTATCCTTGTATCCCTTCAGAATCTTCCGATGGTTTAGAATTTTGCCCTATGAAAATAAACAAGGATAGTCTCGGGCTGGGCGTGGTGGCTCATGCCTGTAATCCCAGTACTTTGGGAGGTCGAGGCAGGTGGATTACCTGAGGTCAGGAGTTAAAGACCAGCCTGGCCAACATGGTGAAACCCTGTCTCTACTAAAAAATACAAAAATTAGCTGGGCATGGTGGTGAGCACCTGTAATTCCAACTACTTGGGAGGCTGAGGCAGGAGAATCAGTTGAACCTTGGAGGCGGAGGTTGCAGTGAGTCGGGATCGCGCCACTGCACTCCAGCCTGGGCAACAAGAGCAAAACTCTGTCTCAAGAAAAGAAAAAAAAAGAAAAAGAAAAAGAAAATAAACTTGAATAGTCTCAAGATCAAGATGAAAATGACCTCAATGAAAAAAGGGAGATGCAAAGTGATTCCAGAGTGAAATCCAACTGCATTTGACCATGTGTAGTTTAATAATGGTTGTGTGGAACAATTTCCATTCTAGTTAATAAGGAAGATCCATTGAGTGATACAATGGCCTAGAGCAATTTCTTAGAAGTAAGACAAAATAATATCGTATTATCATTATAACTAACAAGACTTATGGTATAGTTTCTAATTTATATTTACACTATCCTTTTCTACCAAAAATACAGACAATTAAAATTAAAATTAATTAATAAAACAAAAATAGAAGGTGGGTGCAGTGGTATGTGCCTGTAGTCCCAGCTATTTGGGAAAATAAGGGTGAAGTATCTCTTGAGCCCAAGTCTTTGAGGGCATACCTTGGCAACATAGTGAGACCCTGTCTTGTAAAAAGAAAAAAAAATAGAAACAAAAAATTAACACAAAAAGTCAAGGAAAGTATATATGCCAACTCCAAATAATAATAATAATAACTATTATTATTATTATTGTAGAGATGGGGTCTTGCTATAGCCCAGGCTGGTCTCCTGTTCTCAAGCTATCCTCCTGCCTTGGCTTCCCAAAGTGTTGGGATTACAGGCATGAGCCACCACACCTGGCAGCAACTCCAGATTATTAAGAGGATGACTAAATTGGCAGGCAAAGAGAAAAGGGAAACAATGAACTGCCTGATGTTTCTTTTTTCTTTTCTTTTTTTTTTTCTTTTTTTTGAGACAAAGTCTCACACTGCTGCCCAGGCTGGAGTGCAATGGCACAATCTTGGCTCACTGCAAGCTCCGCTTCCTGGGTTCAAGCGATTCTCTTGCCTCAGCCTCCCAAGTAGCTGGGATTACAGGTGCATGCCACCATGCCTGGCTAATTTTTGAATTTTGGTAGAGATGAGGTTTTGCCATGTTGGCCAGGCTGGTCTTGAGTCCCTGACATCAAGTGATTCACCTGCCTTAGCCTCCCAAAGCGCTAGGATTACAGATGTGAGCCACCAAGCCTGGCCTGATGTTTCTTTAGCAGGCAAGAAGAAACATACTAGGACCCCAGAGGAAATAATATTTTCCTTGTTAAATTCTGAAAGAAAAATTACATAGATTTTATACAGGCTGAAATATTGTGAAAAAAAATTTTTTTTTTTTTTGAAATGGAGTCTCGCTCTGTCGCCCAGGCTGGAGTGCAGTGGCGCGATCTCGGCTCACTGCAAGCTCCGCCTCCCGGGTTCACGCCATTCTCCTGCCTCAGCCTCCCGAGTAGCTGGGACTACAGGCGCCCGCCACCACGCCCGGCTAATTTTTTGTATTTTTAGTAGAGACAGGATTTCACTGTGTGTGCCAGGATGGTCTCGATCTCCTGACCCTGTGATCCGCCCGCCTCGGCCTCCAAAAGTGCTGGGATTACAGGCGTGAGCCACCGCACCAGACCTCAAAAATATTTTTATAACAACTGTGTACATACCACTTGAAGCTATATACTACGAGAGCTATCAGGAGTGCTGGTATTCTGTATAGCTGATAAGACTTGATCTGAACCTCAGAGATGAAACCATCAAGGCAATGTGATAGACTTACTTCCATAAAAGATATAAAACCAAACCAGCTTTATTATCCAAATGCAAAGGGTAGTACTTTACCAAGAATCTTTCATGCTAAAGAATTTGAACTGTCTTACACCTCTTAGAAATGCTATTATATTTTTTAAAAGATAAGAAGCGTTGGTGAGGATGTGGAGAAAGGGGAACCCTGATACGCTGTTGGTGGAAATGCAAACTGGTACAGCCATTATAAAAACAGTAAGAAGCTCCTCAAATAATTAAAAACAGAACTACCATATGATCCAGCAATTTCACTTCTGGGTATTTATAGCCCATATACTTCCCATGTTCTTTGCAGCACTATTCACAATAACCAAGATTTAAAAAACCCTAAATGTTCACTGATGGATGAATAAAGAAAATGTGGTATATACATACAATGCAATATTATTCAGCCTTAAAGAGAAGGAAATTCTGCCATTGGTAACAACATGGATGGACCTTGAGAACATTATGCTAAGTGAATATGCCAGACACATACTGTGCGACCTCACTTATATGTGGAATCTAAAACAGTCAAACTTACATAAACAGAGTAGAATGGTGGTTGCCAGGGACTGGTGGGGACGGGGAATGGAGGGTTGATGGTCAAAGTTACAAAGTTTCAGTTATGCAAGATAAAGAAGTTCTAGAGACCTACTATATAGCATAATGCCTATAGCTAAAAACACTGTATTGTATACTTCAAATTTACTAAAAGAATAGATCTTTGACTAAGTGTTCTTATCACACACACAAAATAATAACAATAAAGAGGGTGTGTGGAAAGTTTGGAAAGTGATAGACGTGTTTTTGCTGTGATGATGGTTTCAGAGGTGTATACTCATCTACAAACTCATTAATTGGTATACATTAAATATGTATAGCTTTTACATGTCAATCATACCTCAATAAAGTAATGCAAAAAACCTGCACCTTATCCTGAAGGTACCATAGAACTTTCTGGCTAAAAGAACAGAGCTGGGGTCCAACACGATTCTTACCCGACGAGGCTGTGCAGCCTTTTCTAGGAGAACAGCAGCATGGTGCTTGTGTTCTCGGGACTCCAACGCATCACATACACCATCTGCTGGTCATCCTTTGAAGCATTAATGGAGCTTCTCCAGGTGTCGCCTACACAGCTTCTCTGCTTTTTGCTCAGGTGGTCTTTCCTCTCTGGGTTGTCTCTCCTCATCTACCTTCATTCTCCAAATGTTCTCCATCAGGTTGGCCATCTGCCACACATGGCAGATATTTTTTCTTAAAAGCTGGCTTGCACAGAGAACAATGTAATGGTTGCCTAGTAGATTCACAGACCTGAATGATGCAGTGGTAGCAAAAGACATGACCACAGTCAATGGTCACTGGGTCTCTCAAGTAGTCAAGACAGATGGAGAACCTCATCCTCCAGATTTCTCAGAGGGGAGGCAGCAGTTGTGATCACTATGCTCAAGTCCTGCAAAGAGTTCACTCTCAAAGTGAGAAATCACTTTCTAAGAAGACATGAAGAAAACAAAGAAGTTGTGAGTTTAATGAACATCAAAATGGAACCCATGAGAAAATAGTTTTTATGTTCAAACTGCTCCCAACCTTTTTTCTCAAAATCCAAAGTCCCTTCCAGAGCACTACTCAGAACACGTTCTGGCTTGCAGTGTTAGATGAATGTTAATTTTAGGCAGCTAGCTCTGCTGTAAGCATTTCAAAGGGTGCTCATATATGTAATTTTTTTTTCCCCGAGACGGAGTCTCGTTCTGTCGCCCAGGCTGGAGTGCAGTGGCACTATCTCGGCTCACTGCAAGCTCCACCTCCCGGGTTCACGCCATTCTCCTTCCTCAGCCTCCCAGGTAGGTGGGACTACAGGCGCCGGCCACCTTGTCCGGCTAATTTGTTGTGTTTTGAGTAGAGACGGGGTTTCACCGTGTTAGCCAGGATGGTTTCGATCTCCTGATCTCGTGATCTGCCCGCCTTGGCCTCCCAAAGTGCTGGGATTACCGGTGTGAGCCACCGCGCCCGGCCTCATATATGTAATTAAGTGGGAGTATCCTAGAAGATTTTGGACAACTAATTTTTCAATAAAGTCTAAAGGATTTGTGCCCACCTCTCAGTAGATCAGCTCAGTAAAATATATTTCCTGTAAATAATTCAAAAGTAGAGAATAAGAACTAACAAAATTTGGGCCTGTATCTTAAAACTCATCTGAAAACATGAGAGCTACATATTAGAAACCACTAGGTTTTGGCCGGGCGCGGTGGCTCACGCCTGTAATCCCAGCACTTTGGGAGGCCAAGGCGGGCGGATCACAAAGTCAGGAGGTCGAGACCATCCTGGCTAACACGGTGAAACCCCGTCTCTACTAAAAATACAAAAATTAGCCGGGCGTGATGGCGGGCGCCTGTAGTCCCAGGTAGTCGGGAGGCTGAGGCAGGAGAATGGCGTGAACCCGGGGGGCGGAGCTTGCAGTGAGCCGAGATTGTGCCACTGCACTCCAGCCTGGGCGACAGAGCCAGACTCCGTCACAAAAGAAGAGAAAAGAAAAGAATGCACTAGGTTCATCCACAGGTCTGTTATTCATACACTGCCTGAGAAATCTCTTCATCATGGTTTAAACTAATTTTTTTCAAACATGTTTTGAAACATCACAGTAAAAAAGTCACTCATGTCCCAGTCTAATATACATGCATATGCACACACAGACACACACACACACACATTTTGTTGGGTACCATTTTTCTTTATTATTTGTAATATATTCTGATTTTTAAATTACAGTCCGTTTTAAAAATGCTGGTTATAACCTGCAAAATTGGTTTCATGACAGTAGGTATCACCTACATTTTGAAAAACAAATCAAACCACAACTTTATCACTAACAGTGACCTCTACCTACAGATGCAAACTCTGGGGAGCTACCAAGGCCTACTGAACCACCACTTGAATCTTGCACCTTAAACTCACACATCCAAATCCACTATCTCTCTCATTCTTCCTATTCCTCAGGAACACGTACCAATAGCCACCCCATTATCCAAGCCATTACAGACAACAGTAAGGAGGCTTCTCAAAAAATTAAAAGTAGAACTACTATATGATCCATCAATCTCACTAATGGATATATATCCAAAGGAAATGAAATTGGTACGTCAAAGAGATACATGCACTCCCATGTTCACTGCAGCGCTATTCACAATAGCCAAGATATGAAATTAACCAAAGTGGCCATCAAAGAATGAATAGATTTTTAAAAATGTGGCGTATGTACACAATGGAATACTTTTCAGCCATAAAAAGAATGAAATTCTGTCATTTGTAACAACATGAATGAACCAAGAGGACATTATATTAAGTAAGCCAAGCAATGAAGAACAAATGGCACATGATTTCACTCATATGTGGAACTGCAAAAGCTGATCTCATAGAAGGGAAGAGGAGAATAGCGGTTACCAGAGACCGAGAAGGAGAGGGAGAAGTGAGGATGTACACTCAAGTGAGAATGTACACTGAAAACTATAAAAAATTGCTGAAATTGAAGATCTAAATAAATGGAAAGACATCTTGTGTTGATGGGTAGAAAGACTTAAAATTGTTAAGTTGTCAATAATATCCAAAGTGATCTACAGACTCAATTAATCTCTATCAAAATTTCAACAGCCTTTTAAACAGATATGGAAAAGCAGGTCCTTGAATTCATATGGAAATGTTCACAAAAAAACAAGTGTTTGTAGGAAAAACAGAGTTTTGATAGGCAACTCAAAATCTATTCATCTTCATACTCATAACACTAACAAAGCAATAACAATTCGAATAAAAATACTAGCATAGTTTTTAAAGAGAAAAAAAAAAGACTTGTTAAACTCTAAATAGATGAAAGACTTTTTAAAGGGGGAGCTAGGCTGAGGGGTGGCTCATGCCTGTAATCCCAGCACTTTGGGAGGCCGAGGTGGGCAGATCACTATGTCCAGAGATCGAGACCATCCTGGCCAAGATGGTGAAACCCCCATCTCTACTAAAAATACAAAAATTAGCTGGGCATGGTGGTGCGCGCCGGTAGTCCCAGCTGCTCGGGAGACTGAGGCAAGAGAATCGCTTGAACCTGGGAGGCAGAGGTTGCAGTGAGCCGAGATCTCACCACTGCACTCCAGCCTGGTGACAGAGCAAGACTCCATCTCAAAAAAAATTTAAAAAAGGAGGCCAGGTGCAGTGTCTCATGCCTGTAATCCCAGCACTTTGGGAGGCCGAGGTGGGTGGATCACGATATCAGGAGATCAAGACCATCCTGCCTAAGACGGCAAAACCCCGTCTCTACTAAAAATACAAAAAATTAGCCAGGCATGGTGGCACGTGCCTGTAGTCCCAGCTACCCAGGAGGCTGAGGCAGGAGGATGGCTTGAACCCGGGAGGCGGAGGTTGGAGTGAGCCGAGATTGCACGACTGCACTCCAGCCTGGGCGACAGAGCGAGCCTCCATCTCAAAAAAAATAACAATTAAAAGAATGAAAAAATAAAATAAAATAAATAAAGGGGGAACTAAAGATACAAGGGGATAAGGAAAGATGGAAGCTGCTGCTTTATGGAGACAAGGTGGAGGGACATCACCATGAGAAGCTATAGAGGATAAGCAGTTGAAGCTTTGCACAAAATGTAGATGACAAAGATGGGTAGCTCTGGATGGTTATTTTCTGCTTGTTTGTTTTGCACCTGCTTAAAAAAAAACACCTGATTTTTTTTTTTCTGTATTGCCACCTTCCTTCTTTCATTAAGAAGCTGCTGTTATGGCTCCAAATAGGACCTTGTGCCATGAAGTGCAATCTGCACTAACACATCTACAAATGCATGTCAATCACACCTAAAGTAGAAAAAGAAAGCTCTTGTGGAATTATTCTAAAGTCTAATGGATTTTTCTTCCCCACTCTTAAGGGGCATCTCAGCAACAAGTTGTTATGGAACTGTGGCAACATCTTAATATTCCCATTCTCAAAATAGTTCAGAAAAAGTGCATGAAAATTGGGGGAACTACTTAGTAAGCACTTCAGGATAGAGAATGTAGCTAAAATGAGTAAAGTGGAGAAGGAGTCAACGGCATTGTGCACAGCATTGTATTCATAGCTTGCTCCCTTAAATCGTGTTTGGGACTTGGCTGCTATTTTGGTACAGCTGCTATTACTCAGTGCAGAACATTAACATATGGGGGAAATTGTATATTACACAATGCAGCTTCCACATTATGCTGACACCATTCCTCTACTTGTCCATTTACTTTAAGAGACACTTACTGATGCAAAGGAGACTGAACAGTGAAGGATCTCACTCAGAATCCTGTCCACAATCTGTCCAGTTTACACCTTACCCCAAAGAGGTAATCTCTTTTGTTAATTACCTGTGTATCTTCCAATTTTTTCATGATAATATAATAATGACTCTTCATTCCCTCTTTTTTTGACACAGAGGTAGCCTGTTATACAACGTTCTTCACCTCATTCTCTCACTTCACAATATATCTTGGAGATCTTACCAAAAGCACACAGAGACCTCCTGCGTTGTGATTAGATTTTCATTGCATAATATTCCATTGTTCGTGTGTGTGTGAGTGTTTAGTTAGTCTCAAATTGATAGGTGCATGAATTTTTCCAATCTTTTGTTAAGGCAAGCAGTATTGAATAAACTTGTACATAATATTTTTGCATGTGTATAATTATATCTGTAGAATGAGTTTCAAAAAATGAAATTGAAAGGTTTAAGGCTGTATTCACAAACAATTTTGAAAGGTATTGATTGCCTAATTGTCCTCCAAAAGGTTTGTCCCAAACTGGACTCCTATAACCAATAAATCAAAGTGCTTGTTTCTCCATAGCCTTGTCAACAGAGGGTGTTGCCAAACTTTTAACTTTTTGCCAATCTGACAGGAAAGACATGATATCTCCTGTAGTTTTTCTTCTTCCTCTGGTAAAAGCAAGGTTAAGTGTTTTTTCATGTGTTTAATAACTATTTTTGTTTCCTTTTCTGAGTTTCTTCACAGTTCCCGAGACAGAAAAAAGGAAAAAGGATTTCAGCAGACAGAATTTCAACAACAATTGTCTGTTAAAATTCTTTTTACTTTTTCTTTCAGAGATTGCTAGTCTCTTTCTTCTCAATTTTAAGGTGCATTTTAATTGCTAAAGAGGTCATTTCTTTGGATGTGATATGCATGAAAATATTTCTATAAGTTTTTCATTTGTCTTTTGATTTTTTATGATATTTTCTGCTACTCGGAACTGCTTTTTATTTTATGTAGTTCAGTTTATTAATTTTCTGTCCTATGGCTTTTACGATTTGGAGTTACAGTTAGATAGCCCTCCTCCAAAGTTAGAAAGGAATATTTCCTTTTTTTCATTGAAAACTTTGACCCATTTGGAGTTTATCATGCTATACAGTTGGAATTGTGCCCAACTTTAAATATTATTTCCCATGTAGTTATCCAGTTATCTCAAAAGCATTTATTGAATGGTCATCTATCTTTTCCACTGATCTGAGATCCCATTTTTATCATCCACTAAATTACTGTATGCTTGGGTCTATTTCTAGATTTCCTTTTATTTTTCATTGATCTGTCTGTTTATGTACCAACATCACATTCTTTTCGTTATTGAGGCTTTAGAATGTTTTCATATTTGGCAAAGCCAGTTTTTCTCAAGCTCCCCTTGTCTGAGGTTTAGTTGGTATTCTTTCTTTATTTTTCATATGAATCTTTGAATCAGTTTATCTAGTTAAAAAGAACACCTGGCTGGGCACGGTGGCTCACGCCTGTAATCCCAACACTTTGGGAGGCTGAGGAGGGAGGAACACCTGAGGTCATGAATTCGAGACCAGCTTGGTCAACATGGTGAAACCCCATCTCTACTAAAATACAAAAAATAGCTGGGGTGGTGGTGTGTGCCTGTAATCGCAGCTACTCAGGAGGCTGAGGCAGGAGAATCGCTTGAGCCCGGGAGACAGAGGTTGCAGTGAGCTGAGATTGTGCCGTTGCTCTCCAGCCTGGGCAACAAGAGTGAAACTCTGTCTCAAAAAAAAAAAAAGAACACCTCTGGTATTTTTATTTTTTACAAGTTAAATTAAGATTAGCCCGGAGGGATGATAACTTTATGATGATCAATGTATGTATTCGAGAAATATTTCAGGTTTTTAAAGTATTTAAGTGTTTGTTACATATAGGTATCACACATTTCAAAGTAAGTTCATTCCAGAGTATTTTATCTTTTTGTTGATATTATAAATAGTATCTTTTCTTCTGTTATATCTTCTACCTAAATGTTGATTTGGATACATGAAAACTATTTACTTCTTCCTATAGCTATTTTATTCTGCATGTTAGGGTAGAAAACAAAACTGTAATAATGGAGAAAACTGTAAATGAGATGACTCAAACAAAATAGTTTATTTCCATCTCAACAGTCCTGGGTAGGTTTATCAAGATGGTGAGTGGTTGTACTCTATGAAGTCACTTAGGGATGCATGCTATTAGAAGTTCTTCTATCTTCAACATGTGATTACAAGATCAATTTGCTTCAACCAATGATGAAGGGTTTCAAGAAGGGCTGAAGTTCAAGGTCTCTTTAATCTGTGAGGTGACTGTTTCATTTATCACAACTTATATTCCTTTGTCAAGACCCTAGTCACATGGCTACATCTAACTGCAAAGAGGGCTAGGAAATGTGGTCCGGCCAGGTCTCAGCTATACTTTATTTGTTTGAGAGAAGGAAAATGGATTTTGTGGTCAGTTAGAAGTCATTACACAGACCAGCAATGGTCACCAATAATCCACATATACTCTACTTTTCACATTTAGAAAAAACTCACCTCACCCCCTAGGGAAATATCTCATCCAGTTATGACATCCAGCTCAAAATCCAGGATCTTTAGGTGACATGCAGTTTTCTATTGGATATACACTTGAGTCCTCATGGCCCAGTGACCCATAAAGTAATAAAATCTAAATTATCACCCTCTACCACGTAAACACAGATAATATACAATGGTGAAGTGAGAACAGGATAATGGCAAAAGAAACTCTTATTTAAAAAACAGAAACACACAATCATTGGCCCACAGCAATGATTAAATCTTACTGGGTAGGAATCCTAAATTATCCTTGCCCTCTCAATGGAGTAAGTTCCAAGCTTAGTCCATCTGACTATCACTGGTCCTCTCTGTGGGAGGAACTCCTTTGTTTGTCATCCTGACCACTGGCTTTGCTTTCTGGAAGATTCTTTCTTCTCCATTATCTACCATAGCCAATATAAGAAGAAGTGAGGAGTACTCATTTCTTAGGATTGCCCCGTACAGATTTTGCAGCCTGACTTCTGTGGTTGCAATTTGAGGGCCTATGAGTTATTTTAAGCTTAACCACAGGCTTTTTTATGTTAGGCTTTATGGCTTCCTTGGGAATACAATTTCTTCAAAAACTAAAAGGGCTTCTTGTTTATTTGTTTCATGCATCAATGACCACAACCAAAGTTCTTTTCTAGGTCTGATTCTGAAATCTTTTGTTCTAAGCTCTGTTGAATGACTCATGTCACTCTTAATTTAATGGTAACAACTTTGAGTGGGAAGAAAACTCCTTTAATCTAATTGTTTCCTTAGGCGTCTGTCCTTCTGTTTGCCTTAATACAAGGCCTTTGGGAAAAGCTTAGAGGAAGGTATTAGTTTTTTATCACTGATTTAACAAATTACCACAAACTTAGTTGCTTAAATATAAATGTATAATCTATAAATATAAATTTATGATAATATAATATATATTATATATTTATAATAGAAATTTATGATCTTACAGTTCTGTAAGTCAGAAAACCAACACTAGTTTCGCTAAGCTAAAATCAAGGTATCAGTAGGACCACATTACTTCTAGAGGCTCACAGGGAGAATCTGTGTTCTTGCCTTTTTCAGCTTCTAGAGGTTGCTGGCATTCTTTGGCTTATGGCCCTGTTTCTCCACCTTCAAAATCAGCAATATAACACATCTCTCTGACCCTTTGTCCCATCATCACATGTCTCTCTCTTACTGCAGCTGGGAAAGATCTTCTGCTTTTAATGACTCATGTGATTAAATTGGGCCCACTGGAATAATTCAGGATGATCTCCTCATCTCAAGGTCCTTAATTGCATTTGCAAAGTCCCTTTTGCCATGTACGGTAACATATTCACAGATTCTGGGGACTAGAATGTGGACATTTTGGTGGGGGGACAGTCATTATTTGGCCTAACACAAGCAACTAAAGCCATATTTCCTGTTATCTGAAATATAAAAGCATTTCTCAATCTTGTAAAGACTCACATCTCTGGACTCTATTTCCTTCAATCTCTGCTTGCAATCTGGTCATTTCTTGCCTGAGTTTGCACTTTCTTATAATATTTTGCTAAATGCAACAAGAAGCAGGCAACACTGGAAACAATCTAAATTTCCATCAACATTTGAATGAATAGACACATTGTAGTACATCCATACAATAAACTACTATATGGCAATAAAAAGGAATGGACTATTTATACACTCAACAACATAGATTAATCACAAAATAATTATGCTGGATGAAAGAATCTAGACAAAAATAGAGTACATATTATGAGTTCATTTATGTAAAATTCTAAAAAAGGAAGCCAACCTATAGTGACAGAAAGCAGACCAGTATTTGCCTGGGGATGGATTATAGGATGGGTTGAATTCAAAGGAGCAGGGAAAAGCTATGGGGGGTGACAGATATATTCATTATTTTAATTGTGGTGATGATTTCACAGGTGGATTCCTATGTCAAAACTCATCAGATTATATACTTTAAATACATGCAGTTTACTAGTTACGATAGTGAAGACGTGGAACCAACTTAACTGCCCATCAACTGTAGACTGAATAAAGAAAATGTAGTACATATACACCATGGAATACTATGCAGCCATAAAAAAGAATGAGATAGTGTCCTTTGCAGCAATATGGATGGAACTGGAGGGCCATTATCCTAAGTAAATTAATGTAGGAACAGAAAACCAAACATCACATGTTCTCACTTATAAGTGGGAGCTAAACATTGAGTATACAAGGACACCAAGAAGGGAACAATAGACATTGAGGTCTATTTGAGGATGGAGGGTGGAAGGAGGGTGAGGATCAAAAAACTACCCATCAGGTACTACGCTTATTACCTGGGTGATGAAATAATCTGTACAACAAACCCCTGTGACACACAATTTATTCATGTAACAAACCTGCATATGTACCCCTGAACCTAAAATAAAAGTTGGAGAGAAAAAAAAAGAAATCTGGAAGCAGAAACACACACAGAGCATGACGGCTCCAAAGACAACCAGGCAAAATCTGTTACTTTATCAACAAAAGTGCATTATTTTCATTCCCTGGTATTTGTTGCTAATGTAAATTTTGTTCAACAACCTGAATAGAATTAAGCAAAGCTTTGGGAATTTTTACCAGGCAGGTACAAAAATATGTGTGCTATTTTTTTGTTCCACATCTTGAGAGAGCACGAAAAACATAAATATGTGCAGTTTATTGAATATCAGTTGGACTCAATAAAGCTATTTTTAAGGTGTACTAAAAAATAAAGAGATACATTCATAGTATTGCATATGGGATTTCACTGAGACATAAACTCATGAAGGTTGGGGCCTTTGTTTGGTTCATTACTGTATCACCAGAACCTATGATAGCACCTGGCACATATTAGAGGTTCAATATATCCCATATAACTTGTAGAAGGCAGAAGAATGTCCCTATCCCCAAGATGTCCATGTCCTAATCCCTAGAACCTGACTATATTATGTTATATGGCAAAAGAGAATTAAGGTTGCTAATCAGTTGACTTTGTAAAAAGGGAGGTTATTAGGCCGTATGAGGTCCAATCTAATCACACCAATCTTTAATAAAAGTGGAAAGAAGAAGAAGCAGAATGTAGCTCAGAGAGATAGGACATGAGATGGACATAACCAACTGTTGTTGGATTTGAATACAGAGAAAAGAGGCTATGAGCCAAGGAATTCTACAGCCCTTTGAGCTGTTAACAGCTCTGTTTAAAGCCAGTAAAAAGACAGGAACCTAGTCCTCCAACTACAAGGAATTGAGTTCTGCAAGCAACCAGAATGAACAGAAACAAATTTTCCCCTAAAGCCTTCAAAAAGAGATGCAACCACACTGACAACTTGATTTTAGCCCATTGAGACTTGTTTCAGACCTCTGACCTACTGAGGCAAGATAAGTAAGGTTAGGAGGCCATACTAACTTGTCCCATGTGTGAAGCCCCACGGCTCCTTTTACAGTGAATTCTTTTCACTTGCACCCTCCTGCATCAGCACTGAAGTCTTTTGCAAGACAAGCAGTCCTGCAGGATTCTGCCAGGTGGTTACAAGTTCTTGATACCCTATACAGCCTGGGAAAGAGAACGAAAGCCCTTTGTTCATGATGTAGCTACCCATCTCCAGCCAATCAGCACCAAAAGCCCAAGAAGCTATTAGCTACAAATTCCTGCCTTGGTTGGGGTGGGTGGAGGTGTGACTGGGAAATTCTCCAGGGTCTTGCATACACAGCTAGGCTCAAGGTTTAGCTTATGGTGACCTTTTCCTCATTGTAATAGCAAAAAACACACCACCACGTGGGGATTTTATACGCTAATGATACATGGGATGCGTGTTAGACCAAGTAGCTCATGTGCTAACCACAGGTCTGCCTTTGCTTACTTGATCTCACCAGTATTTTATTAATATGTATGTACAGTTTCCACAAAGGAAATTCCCCTTAAGGCACTAACTACTGCCTCTAGCTTTGAGCTAGCTTTGAGCAGCCCACTCTGCCTCTCAGAGTGTACTTTCACTTTGCAATAAACTCCTTTGCCTAGTCTTATTTTGGACTCACTCTCAAATTCTTTTGTGTGGCCCAGAATCTGAATCTGGCCCACCAACGACATTGCAGAAGTGTAAGAGAATACATTCGTGTTGTTTAAACAGCTAAGTTTGTGGTAATTTGTTACAGCAGCAATAAAAACCTAATCCATAACTAAAAGAAGCTATGTTCTGGTCCCTAGAAGCACCAAAGAAGCTGCAATGTCCTCGGTCCCCAGTTTAGGGGAATGGAGTGGATGTTGAAAGCTTCTGAGGGGAGGAAGAGCCTGAAAGACATTCTCTAGGAAGGAAAGGGCAAACTGGGAGTGAGTCAGAGCTTTATGATTGACTACACTCTTTTATCATTCATAAAGACTGTCAGAGGCATTCCAACCAGAGCGACGCCATTTTGAGTGAGAGCTAGGAAAATGAGGCTGCAACTTGGCGGGGTGCATTTCCAGAAATATAGGTATTCCTAGCCTCTAGACATTTATGGTTAAGGGAATAGATTAATAATATTTACTAGGCCAGGAAAGGTGGCTCACACCTGTAATCCCAGCACTTCAGGAGGCCGAGGTGGGTGGATCACAAGGTCAGGAGTTCGAGACCTGCCTGGCCAATATTGTGAAACCCGTCTCTACTAAAAATACAAAAATTAGCTGGGTGTGGTGACATGTGCCTGTCCCGACTACTCGGGAAATGGAGGCAGAAGAATCGCTTGAACCCAGGAGGCGGAGGTTGCAGTGAGCCAAGATTGTGCCATTGCACTCTGGCCTGGGCAACAGAGGGAGACTCTGTCTCAAAAAAAAAAAAAGTTTACTAAACTGACCCAGATTTAGCAATGTCCAGATAATCCTGACACCTGGAGAACAAAGGCACTTCTAATTTTGCTTTAAAGATAATAATATTGATTCTTGCAAAACATAGTAATTAAGGAAATTAATCCTTTATCACAAACTCTTGTAGCAGAGCACATCTTCCCATGATCTTCTTTTATCATATATATATATGATATATATATAAAGATATATATATAAGCATTGTACCTAGGGTGGACGCGTTCCTCCTCTTACTTTCTGGAATGCCCTACTCTGTCTATGGGTTAGCTCTTCTTTCACCACTGAACTTGCTTTTGCTGTGCACTCCAGCAGACTTGCCCTGAATTCTTTCTTGCACGAGATCCAAGAACCCTCTCTTGGGGTCTGGATTGGGACCTCTTTCCTGTAACAGGACCACCTTCCACAAATGGACCCAGGTTCAGTGTCCACTCTGATTCACTGTCCCATGCTGCCTTCCCTAAAGCAGGCACTTTGCCACTGGTTTCACACGTCTGGGGTGAAGAACTCTTCTTGGTTTGTCCGGAACCTTTCTGGTTTTGCGTGGAAAGTCCTGTGTCCTGGGAAACTCCACAGTCCCAGGCATCCTATACCATGCTTCATTTGCCAAAAACTGTGACCCAAAAAAATTGTGAACAATGATTTTACTGCAAAATGTTGGAAACTCTGTAGAAAGTAGTTGTATGGTATGCTGTGAAAATAGGGAATTTTTTTTGGGTATTTGATTTTGTAACACTTTTCTGATTATAAAAGCATTAAATACACATTTGGAGGTACTTGGAGAGACAAAGGAAAGCTTAAAGCAATGCTTTTCAAGCTTTGTTATGTGTAAGAATATCTTGCTTGAAATGTAGAGTCCCAGGCTGCAACGCAAGAGTGTGCATCAGGAAGAGTGGAGTGTTGCCCAGAAATCTGGAAGGTAAGAGAAAAGGCTAGCCACTAATAGTAGTTTAAATGAGTCGAGAGTCTGGTCTACATTTTGCATGTCTAATAGACATCTCAAAATTAGCATATCCAAAATCAGATCCAAATCCTCTCCCCTGGTCTGTCCCTGCCCACGCCCCTACCCTCTATCAAGTCTTTCCCATCTCAGCATCCTTCCAGTTGCTTAAGCCAAACACCTGGGCATAATCCTTGTCTCTATTGTTCCTATCACACCATACCTAATTGTGTTAATTCTATCTTCAAATGTATTCTGAACTTGACTATTTCCCACAACCCCCATCATCACTTGCCTAGTTTATTTCAATGGCCTTCTGACAGATGTTGCTACCTCCATTCTTGTTTCCTTGGTTCTATTTTCAACAGAGGAGCCAGAGAAATTAAAACATGAGTTAAAGCCTATAGTCAGAGCCTATCAGTCCTTTGTCCTTTTAGTGCCATCCATCTCACTCAAAGTAGAATCAAAGTCCTTAGAATGGGCCACATGGTCCTACCCAGCCTGGACCCGCTCACTTCTGTTGAGCTAATGTCCTGCACTTCACCTGATGACCTCATGTCCTGCACTTCACCCCTCCTTCACTCTGGTCCAGACACACTGGCATCCCTACTGCTCCTTATACTTGCTAGGCATGCTTCTGCCTCAAGGCCTTTGTGCAGACTCTTCCCGTTGCCTAGAACACATTTCTCTCAGATATTCTCAAAGCTGGCTCTCTAACCTCTTTCAGGCATTTGCTGAAATATCACTTTCTCTGTAAGGACTTCTCTAACCTCCCTATTTAAAATTGTAATATTTTCTCCCCACTCCCTGTTCCCCTTCTTGGTTTGTGTTAATTCATAGTACCTACCACCATCTAATATTACAAATTTTTTTTTTTTTTGAGACTGAATCTTGCTCTGTCGCCCAGGCTGGAGTGCAGTGGCAGGATCTTGGCTCACTGCAACCTCTGCCTCCCAGGTTCAAGCGATTCTCCTGCCTCAGCCTCCCAAGTACCTGGGACTACAAGTGTGTGCCACCACGCTCAGCCAATTTTTTGTATTTTTAGTAGAGACAGGGTTTCACCATGTTAGCCAGGATGGTCTTGATCTCCTGACCTCGTGATCCACCCGCCTCGGCCTCCCAAAGTGCTGGGATTACAAGTGTGAGCCACTGCATCCGGAGTATTACAAATTTTTTATTACTTTGTTCGTGGTTTGCCTTCCTCCAACAGAACACAAGCTCCACTGGGATTTTTGTCTGTTTTGTCACTGCTTTATTCCCAGGACCCAGAAGAGCACTTAGCATAAAGTAGATGCTCAATGAGTATTGGTGAAGGCATGGATGGATATATAACATATGACAGAGCTTGCAGTGTAAAACAGTGGGGAAAATTAGAGGCTGTGCATTAGATCACACTGAGATAATTAGTTAACCATATGGAAAAAAGGGGAAACAAATATATATTTTGCTCTAAACACAAAAATTAATTCCAGATATATAAAGATTTACATATGAAAGGCAAATGTCTCAGTTGTTCAGGCCTCTATGACAAAAATACCATAGACTGGGTGGCTTAAATAACAACCACTTATTTCTCATAGTTCTAGAGGTAGGGGAAGTCTGAGCTCAGGGTGCACAGTCAGTTTCAGATGAATGTTCTCTTCTGGGTTGCAGACTGCTAACTTCTCATTGTGTCTTCACATGGTGGAAGAGACAAGGGAGCTCTTTGGGGTCTCTGTCATAAGGGCACAAATCCCATTCAGTAGTGCTCTGATCTCATGACCTAATCACCTCCCAAAGGCCCCACCTCCAAATACCATCACACTGAGGATTAGGTTTTAACATGTGAATTTTAGGAGGGACACAAGCATTCAGTCTATAGCAGCTAAACTGAAAAATATTTAGTCAATAATATAGATTATCTTTGTAATCTCAAGACAAGGTAGGACTTATTAAACTAGACCAAGAGTCCAAAACATAAAGATTGATACGTTTAGCTACTTTAGAATGAAAAAACAAATGCTTCTCTCTTCTCAAAAGATGACATAGAGAGAAACAACAAGCCAGAAACTCCAAGAAGATGTTTGTAACACATATAACCAACAAGGAATTAGTGTCCAGAATATACAAAAAACAAATATTTCCCATAAATCTGAAACCAACCCATTTGTCCCATAGGACTGATTATGTTTTTTTTCTTTTAATAAACATAGAAATTTACCCTACAAGTCTTAAAACTTGAGAAACTTACATTTGTCTTATCTGAGTTCCTTTCTCAGGAAATTGATGATCAGGGCTCCCTGGTAGTATCAGGAAACTGAAACTTACCTTTCACTGCATCTGCTAAGACACCAGACCCCTCACCCTTCATGACTGCCTAACTGACCCCAGGCTGCCTGTTGACCAACTCCTCTTCCTTACCCCTCCCTAATTCCTGTTTTCCCATATGTAGTTACCTTTCTTCCCTGCTCTATAAACCCTTAATTTTAATCTGTTGAAAAGAGGAGACAGAGTTAAGACTGATCTCCAATCTCCTCGGTTGCAACACCTGAATAAAGCCTTCTTCCCTCACAATACTTGTTGTCTCAGTGATTGGCTTACTGTGCAGTGAGCAACCTAGACCAAACCCTTGGCATTTTGGTAACAAATCCAAAAGAAAACTAAAAATAGCCAATAGAAGAAAGTATAAAAAACATAAAAGACACTATACAGAAAGAGAAATACAACTGGCCAAAAAAAAAAAAAGGAAAAAAGAAAGAAAAGAAAAATGCTCAGCTTCATTAATAATTAGGAAAATGCACATTAAAACCAAATGCGATAACATTTCACACACATCAAAATGGCAAAAAGTCAAAAGTCTGACAATTCCAAGTGAAGTTGCAGATGTGGTTTAATGGGAATTTCATCTGCCACTAAAGGGAATGTAGATTATACAACCCCTGGGAAATAGTCTCCCCTCACAAAGTAACACTATATATACTGCAACCACATTCTAAGACTCAGAAATTTCATTACTAGTTACATATTCTAAAAAGTCTTGCAGGTATGTGCCAGGGTACATGTATGAGAATGTTCATAGCATCATTGGTCATAACAGCAAAACTATGAAGACAAACCAAGTTCTAAGAATAGTAAAATGGAGAAGAAAAAAACATGGGACTTTCAAATTTGGAATACCACACAGCAGTGAAAATGAACAAGCCAAAGCTATATGCATCAAGATGGTGAATCTCAGAAATAAAGACAAGTCACAGAAGAACACATACATTACAATTCCACGTATACAAAGTTTAAAAATAGGCAAAACTAGACAATATCCTGTTTAGGGATACATACATGTATCAAGGAAGTATAAAGAAAAGCTAGGCCTTGGCCTCTCCCTCTCCCTCTCCCCCTTTCCCTTGGATCTCCCTCTGTTGCAGAGGCTGGACTGTACTGCCATGATCTCAGCTTGCTGCAACCTCCCTGCCTTGGGCTCCCGTGATTCTCCTGCCTTGACCTGCCGAGTGCCTGGGATTGCAGGCATGCGCTGCAATGCCTGACTGGTTTTTGTATTTTTGGTGGAGACGGAGTTTCACCGTGTTGACCGGGCTGGTCTCCAGCTCTTGACCTCGAGTGATCTGCCCGCCTTGGCCTCCCGAGGTGCTGGGATTGCAGACGGAGTCTCGCTCACTCAGTGCTCAATGTTGCCCAGGCTGGAGTGCAGTGGCATGATCTCAGCTCGCTACAACCTCCACCTCCCAGCCGCCTGCCTTGGCCTCCGAAAGTGCTAAGATTACAGCCTCTGCCTGGCTGCCACCCCATCTAGGAAGTGGGGAGCTCCTCTGCCCGGCCGCCCCGTCTGGGATGTGAGGAGCGCCTCTGCCCGGCCGCCACTCCGTCTGGGAACTGAGGAGCGCCTCTGCCCAGCCGCCCCATCTGAGAAGTGAGGAGCGCCTCTGCCTGGCAGCTGCCCCGTCTGGGAAGTGAGGAGCATCTCTGCCTGGCCGCCCATCGTCTGGGATGTGAGGAGCACCTCTGCCCACCCGCCCCGTCTGGGAAGTGAGGAGCGCCTCTGCCCGGCTGCCCCGTCTGGGAGGTGTACCCAACAGCTCCGAAGAGACAGCAACCATCGAGAATGGGCCATGATGACAATGGCAGTTTTGTGGAAAAGAAAAGGGGGAAATGTGGGGAAAAGAAAGAGAGATCAGATTGTTACTATGTCTGTGTAGAAAGAAGTAGACACAGGAGACTCCATTTTGTTCTGTACTGAGAAAAATTCTTCTGCCTTGGGATGCTGTTAATCTATAACCTTACCCCCGGCCCCGCGCTCTCTGAAACATGTGCTGTGTCCACTCAGGGTTAAATGGATTAAGGTCGGTGCAAGATGTGCTGTTAAACAGATGCTTGAAGGCAGCATGCTCGTTAAGAGTCATCACCACTCCCTAATCTCAAGTACCCAGGGACACAAACACTGTGGAAGGCTGCAGGGACCTCTGCCTAGGAAAGCCAGAGACCTTTGTTCACGTGTTTATCTGCTGACCTTCTCTCCACTATTATCCTATGACCCTGCCACATCCCCCTTTCCGAGAAACACCCAAGAATGATCAATAAACACTAAAAAATAAAAAATAAATAAATAAATAAATAAATAAAAAGAAAAGCTAGGATGGCCGGTGTGGTGGCTTGTCTTTAATCCTAGAACTATGGGAGGTTGAGGCAGTAGGATTGCTTGAGGCCAGGAGTTTGAGACAAGCCTGGGCGACATAGCTAGACACCATCTCTACAAAAATAATAATAAGAAGAAAAGTTCACTGGGACCGGGCGCGGTGGCTCACACCTGTAATACCAGCACTTTGGGAGGCTGAGGTAAGTGGATCACCTGAGGTCAGGAGTTCAAGACTAGCCTGGCCAACATGGTGAAACCCCGTCTCAACTAAAAATACAAAAATATTAGCTGGGCGTGGTGGCGGGCACCTGTAATCCCAGCTACCTTGGGAGGCTGAGGCAGGAGAATTGTTTGAACCTGGAAGACGGAGGCTACAGTGAGCAGAGATCACGCCATTGCACTCCAGCCTGGGTGACAAGAGCGGAATTCTGTCTCAAAAAAAAAAAAAAAAAGAAAAAAGGAAAGAAAAAGAAGTGAAACCAAACGAAAAGAAAAGCTCACTAGGTGTGGTGGTATGAGCCTGTAGCTGAGGTGGGAAGATCCCTTGGGCTCGGGAGTTCACATGCTGCAGTGAGCTATAATTGTGCCACTGCACTCCAGCCTGGATGACTGACTGAAACCTAATCTCTTAAAAATAAAAATAAAAGCTGGGTGCGGTGGCTCACGCCTGTAATCCCAGCACTTTGGGAGGCTGATGGGGCGGATCACGAAGTCAGGAGATTGAGACCATCCTGGCTAACACGGTGAAACCCTGTCTCTACTAAAAATACAAAAAAATTTGCTGGGAGTGGTGGCACGTGCCTGTAGTCCCAGCTACTCAGGAGGCTGAGGCAGGAGAATCGCTTGAACCCAGGAGGCGGAGGTTGCAGTGAGCCGAGATTGCGCCACTGCACTCCAGCCTGGGTGACAGAGCGAGATTCTGTCTCAAAAAATAAAAATAAAAATAAAAGCTAGGGAATGATTATCACAAAAAAATGCAGCTCTAGCAAAGAGAGAGGGAGAGTGATCTATTGGTTAGGAGCACGTAATAAAAGATATTGGAAATATTCGATTGCTTAGAGTGACCGATGATTACATAACATCCTTTATTATCTCATCAATACTTTAAAATGTGTATATGGATTATATGTACACTTTTGAATATATATTTCACAGTTTTTGATTAAAGAAGGAGAGAAAAGGAAACAGAGGGCAGGTACAGACAATATTTTCTAATTTTGCTGTAAATGTGGAGCAGGAAAATAGGAGAGTACCTGAAGCAAAAACCTTTTAAAAACTTATGTTACTGGCCAGGCGCAGTGGCTCACGCCTGTAATCCCAGCACTTTGGGAGGCCGGGGTGGGGCGGGGAGGGGGGTGGTGGATCACCTGAGGACAGGAGTTCAAGACCAGCCTGGCCAACATGGTGAAACCCCGTCTCTACTAAAAATACAAAATTAGCCGGGAGTGGTGGTGGGGGGCGCCTGCAATCCCAGCTACTGGGGAGGCTGAAGCAGGAGAATCACTTGAAACCCAGAGGCGGAGGTTGCAGTGAGCTGAGATCGTGCCATTGCTTTCCAGCCTGGGTAACAAGAGCAAAACTCTACAAAACAAAAACAAAAACAAAAAAACTTATGGTATCAAGGAGTTTGTCTTGTTTTGGTTTTTAAAGCGATATATTATAACATGTTTGTATGCTCATGAGAATAATTCAGTGAAACGGTAAAAAAAATTTGCTGAAGCAGGAGAGTAGATATTTATAGATGGTTAGTCCATTTTTGAGAAAACAAGAGAGGATGGGATCTAGCCTTCTCAGGGAGAGTAGAGACATCAAGGTGGTTCTGCTATGGCAGAACTTGCTGGAAACCCACTCTCTAGGGTGCAGGCAAAAGCTGTTCATACCAGAGACACTCCAGTATAAAACCCCTTCAGGAGGGGTGCCTAAGGAAGCTGCTTACTGCTGGGTGTTGCTGACTGTGACTGAAGTAACTGGACACTAGGTAAGTTTTGGGTGCTGCAGGAGCAGGTGCTGCTAAACCATGCACTCACTGCAGGAACCTGGCAAACAGCACACCAGAACCAGGAAGCAAAATCGTTTTTCCCTGCAATGACTCTCCAGTGCCCTCTACTGACAAAGCTTCAGGGCCAGATGGCAAAGAAAACATAATTAAAAGATTCAGGATCATTTTTGGAGCTGAGAGGCAGTAAATCCATAACTCACAAACTGGGGAATGGAGGGATCAGGCTGACAATACCTGAATCTTCCATCAAATCTACCATCACTAATAGTGGGATGAGATCATATACCTCTAAATGTGATACCATAGGTACACAGCACTGCTTTTGAAGTATTCTCCTTAAAAAATTGAACCCAGCCGGGAGTGGTGGCTTACGCCTGCAATCCCAGCACTTTGGGAGGCCGAAACAGGCGAGTCACCTGAGGTCAGGAGTTTGAGACCAGCCTGGTCCAACATTGTGAAACCCCGTTTCTACTAAAAATACAAAAATTAGCCTGGCATAGCGGCGGGCACCTGTAATCTTAGCTACTCAGGAGACTGAGGCAGGAGAATCACTTGAACCCAGGAGGCAGAGGTTGCAGTGACCCGAGATTGCACCACTGCACTCCAGCCTGGATGACAGCGAGACTCCATCTCAAAAACAAACAAACAAAAACCCCAAATCTGATAAAGCCTTTTAAGTAAATAAAAATAAAAGCTAAGGAATGATTATCACAGAAATGCAGAGTGATGCTTACCTCTATAGCAGAGAGAGACGGACTAGTAGTATCTGGGTTAGGGACATATGGTGAAAGATATTGAAAATGTTTGATTGCTTAGAATGAGAGATGACTACATAGCATCCTTTATTATCTTATGAATCTTATCTAAGATACACAGGAAATAGAGGAACAAGTTAATTGATACCATGAGGAAGCAATCAACCAAATCCAGTACTGGGAACATTCTATGGGATAAATGAACTGGCTTCTCCAGCAAATTAATGGAATGAAAATAAGGGAAGGGTAGATTGTTATAATAAGATTAAGAGACATAATAATAAAATGCAATGTATTGCCAAAATATAATTTTTAAAAGTCAATGACAGTATCCTATACAAAGAAAAAGTGAGCATGTATCAAAGATGTACTAACAAGAGACTAGTAAAAAAAGAACTAGTTCAAAGAGAATTTGGAAGATTGAATATACATACACTGGACATACATCTTCTATACCTCCACTGAACAAAATTCATTGACATTGCTATTGACCAAGAATCATTTCCATTGATATCACTTTTCTACAAGTTAATGTCTACCCCTAAGGAGTACTCTAAATACCCTAAAATACTAAATCAAAGTTAAACTACCCTAGAGAATTAGATAATTTTTACGTAGGCCTATTAGAAAATGCTACAGTGTCGGCCGGGCGCGTTGTATCAAGCCTGTAATCCCAGCACTTTGGGAGGCCAAGGCAGGAGGATTGCTTGGGTCCAGAAGTTTGAGACCAGCCTGGGCAACATGGCCAGACCTTGTCTGTACAAAAAATACAAAAATTAGCCGGGCATGGTGGCACACATCTGTCCCAGCTACTCAGGAGGCTGAGGTGGGAGAATTGCATTAGCTCAGGAGGTCGAGGCTGTAGTGAGCCATGATTGCACCATTGCACTCTAGCCTGGGTGACAGAGTGAGACCCTGTTTCAAAAAAAAAAAAAAAATTTTTTTTA
This sequence comes from Homo sapiens, assembly GCF_000001405.40. Lineage (NCBI taxonomy): Eukaryota > Metazoa > Chordata > Mammalia > Primates > Hominidae > Homo > Homo sapiens. The sequence goes on along the minus strand of NT_167244.2, from coordinate 1,475,800 downwards.
AGTTGAATTTGTCATTATATATTATACAATATATTTTCACTAACTTTTGAGCTAATAGACATTTAAAAGTCACCAAATTTGGAATACAAAGTATTTTAAATGACATCCCAAGTCATATAAGAGATTGGTTCAGCCTACGCTTTCTGTTCAAAACCCAGTAGTTAATGCTATTAGCATTCAAAATGCCTTTTTTTCCTTTTAAAAAGGACAGTTAAACCTGTTATTTTTTATCCTGCAGCCAGTTCTTAGCACAAAAGCAGGCAGATTTTAGTAGCACAGAATTATTTATTAGCTTATGCCTCTACCAGAAAACAGAAATGTTGGCTTAAAATTGTTTCATTGATGTAACTTTTACCTTTTCCTTTACAGATATTCATTTATTCATTCTGGCCCTAATACCAAGGTATCCTTCACACAAAAGATTCAAACAGATTCTTTGCATCTTTACCAATGGGAGTTTCATGTTTTCAAGTTTTTGTTTGTTTGTTTGTTTGTTTTTTGTTTGGAGGCCTCTTTCCAAGCACTCTAGTATTCTTAAAATCCTGAGATTCTGAATGGTATGATTTAGCTCAATATGTTTATACTAAACTTAGGGGAAAAAAACTAATATATTTTCCTTACCCATCACAAGGTTTATGCTGAGACTTCAATAACAAAAAACAGACTAACAAGAGAAAAGCATGCACATTTATTTTATCCAAGTTTTACATGACATGGGAACTTTCAGAAACGAAAACCCAAAGAAATGGGGACATTTGTGTAGTTGTATAGACAGTCAGGCAGATGTATGATTGCAAGGACAAAAGTGTATGAGCTAACGGTGATAAACTGAGAAGTTGGAAAGGCCTGTCTATTCAGTTTCTTCTTGGCATACCTGTGTGGCAGTCCCTCCCTCAGGGCATAGGAGAGGATGCCTGTTATATAAGGGGCCTCAGATGAAGGAGGGAGAAGGAGGGAGCAGGTCAGAGAGTGACCTTCCTAGATTTTGTGGCCTGCTTCAGGGAAGAAGGGGCGAGGGGAACTCTAGTTTCTATGGCCTGCTTCAGGGCAGAAAGGAGCAAGAGGTCAGAGAAACCTTCCTGTTTCTGCTATTTTCTCAATTTCCAAGGTGCCATATTTTGGGGTGGCATTTCCTGTACCCTGTCATATACAAACTCATTTTTAGACAGCGGCCTTTAGTTCCTCCTGAGGTTAAACCAGAGCTGCTCAAGGAATATACCTACTAAATCTTCTTGCTCCATTTAAGATATTTATTTCAAATGCAAATAATTATACCATACCCTTTGGCCTAGTCAGCACTGATTCACTATTTCAAAGCTTTACATTTAAGCCTCATAATAACCGTACGAAGCAGATCTAGCTACTTCCATGTTACAGAAGAAGAACCTGTGGCACACAGAGGTTGAGCAGCTGCCCCAAAGCCTCACAGAATGTGGCAGACTGGAGAATTCAACGCAGAACTCTTACCCAGCCCCATATGCTGCCTTGGCCTCCATCTGGTATGACCACAGAAATGGAGAGCTGGAGGAAGGAATTTCAACTCTGCTTCAGAACCTTAAATGAAGCAGGAAGCTGTAGAGGGGCACAAAGCTACAAAGCTGCTCCAAAGCTGTCTCCTCCAACACAAAGCAGAAATTGTGTTCCCAGCATCCATTTCTGTTACCCTTACTTGGACTTGAGAAGCTGTATCAATCAAGATGTAGTGTGGTGGGAGAGGGACTCAGTGCATGACTGATACCCAGCCAAGCAGGGCCAGGCAGCTTTAGAAATGCCCACACTGGGGAATTGAACAATGAGAACACATGGACACAAGAAGGGGAACATCACACACCAGGGGCTGTTGTGGGGTGGGGGGAGGGGGGAGGGATAGCTTTAGGAGAGATATACCTAATGCTAAATGATAACAAACCTGCACGTTGTGAACATGTACCCTAAAACTTAAAGTGTAATAATAATAAAATTTTTTTACAAAAAGAAAAAGAAATGCCCACACTGAGCTCATTTCATTTAACAAACATTTATTTACATGGAAGCCATGTGCATGGAAGACAGGTGTTGTCTCAACTCTCTTGGGGCGTACACTGAGGGGGAGGAAGATCGAAAATAAACACATTGACAAAGAAATGAACAAGGTGCTTTCAAATGGCAACAAATGCATGAAGAAAGGGAAACAGAATAATGCATGATGGGGAACTGGTTTCAACTGGGTGAGGGAGGAAGACCTTTCTGAGATGTAGACATGACTGACAAGAAGCGGGCAGCCATGCAAGGGGCTGGGGCAGGGAGTTTCAAGACCAGGTGTAAGGTGAAAGCACAGGGACCGAGGGAGAAGTGGCATGAGGGAGGTCAGAGAGTTAAGCAGAGCTGTCATGTCAGGAGCCCCAGCCCCTGCAAGAGTCTTCCATGCCCCTCTAAGTGTGCTGAGAGGATAGAGAATTTTAAGTGGGGTGGTGGATTTGTGGCTGGAGTCTGCCCAGAATGGTCTGTGAATAGGCCAAAGACCTCAGGACAGGGAGAAAACGCTTAGTGGCACAGCATTATTTTTTATTTTATTATTATTTTTTGAGACGGAGTCTCGCTCCGTCCCCAGGCTGGAGTGCAGTGGGGCGATCTCGGCTCACTGCAACCTCCGCCTCCCGGGTTCAAGCGATTCTCTTGCCTCAGCCTCCTGAGTAGCTGGGACTACAGGTGCGCGCCACCACGCCCGGCTAATTTTTGTATTTTTAGTAGAGACGGGGTTTCACCATGTTGGCCAGGATGGTCTCGATCTCTTGACCTCGTGATCCGCCCACCTCGGCCTCCCAAAGTGCTGAGATTACAGGCGTGAGCCACCGCGCTCGGCGGCAGAGCATTATTTAAGGAGCATGTTAAACACACTTTCTTCCCACACCACCAACTAAAAAAGCAGGTATCAAGAGGGTCTAGGTAGGTGCTGAGACCACCTCCAGAGCACAGGCCCGCCAGAGTTGTGCTCAGCAGGTGAGGTCTACACTCCTCTCAGCCCGGAGGGGCAGCGTGAGTTATACTGCTGGACAAAGGGGAAAAAGACAAAATGCTGGGCTGGGGTAGAAGGGAAGGACGCGGGTGTTAAATGTGGGCGTGGTTTCTTCTGAATGTCCCACCCACTCCACTATACATTGCTTAAATGCAGTGCAAATTTCCCTACCCCCAGCGGAGGAGGGGTGAAGATTCAGCAGGTTTTAGGGTCTAGGACCCTGAGCTCCTCCATTCATGAATACCCAAACAACTGTAGCCCACCCTCTCACCACTGCCTAGGCGGACGACCAGTGTCCCCAGCTAGATCTCTACCCTTAGGAGCAGGGCACTGGCTGACCCGGAGAACCTGCGCCGCCTCTTCTCAGCCTGCTGCCAGCCCAGTGCACGAGCTGAATGCCGCTGCCGCCTGGCTGGCCGGGAAAGACGGGGATCTTGACGCGGCGGCGCCTGGGACACGGCAACCGCAGCACAGGGCATGGCCCTGCGGCTGGACCGGACGCGGCGGCTGCAGGCAGAGCAGGAAGAGAGCGCAGGCTGGGCAGCGGCGTACGCTTCGGCGACGTCAGCTTCCGGGGCCGTGGACGGGGGCGCGCCCGAGCCTCCTGGAAACCTCCCCACCAAGGACCTGGGGAACCCAAGTCTCGGCCCGCTTTGTAGCCTCTGGTTTCTAAATTCAGCGTCGAGGAGCGAAAACAACCCCCCTGAACTGGGCCCAGACCCTTAAGCTCCTGGAACCTCAGTTTTTCCTTCCGTCGAATGGCGACAATGGCTGTCTGGTTGAACGTTATTTTACCTAGGAAGTAATAATTTTCGTAAATAGGTCTCTGAGAGTATTTGCTTGCTAAAATCCTGCTTTGTCCTGGAAGCAAATTTAGGCCACGTTAGGGGCGGGGACTTCGTATTTAATGTTGAGCACCTGGCGAGCGCCACCTTCGCCTCAAAGCGCCCTCGGACCCTGATCCAGCATAAGGCCAGAGTTGGGCAGTGAGGGGTCTCGAGAGGTGGAAAGGGGATTATTGCCCTCTCAAGAGTCCTACGTAGGTGACTCCTAAGCCTTAGCATTTACTCCCTTAGACCGTGTAACAGGCCACCCCAATTACGCGCCAAACTCAGGCTGCGGCTCTTGGCGCAGCCTCGGTCCCGCCTGATTTCAGTTTCCATTTCGCTGCCCCTGGTGCCCCACCGCCCGCGGCTGTCTGGGGATTTGCCCGGTGATCAGTGACGTAAAAGAGACTAAGGTTCCCATTGGATGGCGAAGTTCGGCAGGAGCCAATCCCGGGGCTGGTCCGGGAGAAATCTCGGCGAAGGGCCCCGAATAGCCGGGAGATTACGGGGCGGGGACGAGCTGTCGCGCTGGTTGCTCGTGCAGGAGCGGGACCCGGAACAGACCGCCGTGAGAGAGGAGGGGTGCCGGCCGGGATTCGCGGCCCGGAGCTCGGGACCGGTGAGTAGGGGGTGCACATGAGACATACAGCGAAGCAACAGTCTCGTACGCTCACCGGGTTTGGGGCGACCCAACGCAGCCGCCGGGCCCGGGTTCAAAACGGGGCCAGGCCCCCGGGCGGGCTCAGGAGGGGGTCAAGTTCGCTGCGTCCTCCCTGCCAGCCAGATCCCTCCTGTTTGCTTGTCCTTACATTCTCCCCCTCCTCTTGGGTCTTTCTCGCTTTCTGGTATCCTACTCAGACTCCCATCCATTCTAGTCTGCGGAACCAGAAGTAAGCGGGGCCTGGATGACCGTCCGGTTGCTTGGAGCCTGGTAGATAGGCGACTAATCCAGCTCCCTGACCAAAGTGTCATGCTTTCTTTCTCTTTCTTTTTTTTTTTTTTTTTTTTGTTCGGAGTAAACCGGTTTAGCCACAAATACTTGGAGCTGTGCTTTCACTCCTTCCAGCTCATTAGCATTTTTCTTACTGATTTTCTCCCTATTTGGCCTTAGAAAAAAAGTGTAAATTTAACTCTGTGGAGTAAATGGGAGGGACACACTTCCAAATCTCCAGTAGATTTCAAATTTTGACCCACGATTTGTGTGTACTTCAAAAGAGGGGAGAATGACATTCGTTTATGCATGCCTTAACCTCCTGTTTTTAACTCTTAGCTGAAATCATAATCCCTAACATGTTTTTCCCCAAGTTCAAAAAAATCACCTTTAAAAAAAATAGGCTTTTTATGTTTCAAAAATTGCAATTTTATTGTTTAAGTAGACTTTATTTCTTACAACACTTTTAGATTTACAGAAGAATTGAGAAGATAGTACAAACTTCCCACATGCTCCAAACCGGATCCCCTGTTATTAACATCTTACCTCAGTGTGGTACATTTGTTGCAGTTAACCAATATCAATACATTATTATTGACCAAAGTCCATAGTGTGTTCAGATTTCCTTAGTTTTTACCTCAGTACTTTTTCTGTTTCATGATCCCATGGAGGTTACCACATTACATTTAGTTGTCATGTCTCCTTATGCTCCTCTTGGCTGTGGGAGTTTCTCAGACTTGTTTTGATGACCTTGACAGCATTGAAGAATACTGGTCGTGTATGTTGTAGGATGCCCCTCTATTGGAATTTGATGTTTTTCTCCTAAGACTGGGCTTATGGGTAACTGGGAGGAAGACCACAGAGGTAGATTGCCATTATCATCCCATCGTATCAAGGGCATGTACTAACATGATTTATGACTTAATATTGATTTGGGTGAGATAGTGTTTTTCAGGTTTCTCCACTGTACAGTTAGTCTCTTTTCCACTCTTTGCGTGTATTGTCCTCTTTAGAAGGAAGTCACTAAGTGCAGCCCATACCTAGGGAGCCAAGAGTTATATTCCCCCTTCTTGAGGGCAAGTATCTACATATTATTGTTTGCAGTTATTCTGCATGGAAGATTTGTTTCTCTCTTCCCCCAATTTATTAATTTATTCAATCATTAATTTCAGTGTAGACTCAGGGACATTTATTTTATACTTTGGTTTATAATCCAATACTACTTAATTTTGTTGCTCAAATTACTGTGGCTTTGGCTGTTGGGAGCTCTTTTCACATTGGCTCCTGTGCTCTTTCATAGTATTTTTATAGAGCTTTTTGCTAATGAGACACTCGTACTTATGTGACCTTGCCTCAACCTCAAATAGCCTGGTAAACTTGGCAAAATATTTTCCCCTTGTTAAGAGGTAAGGAGACTGAAGGCCTAAGGCAGTGGGTGACTTCTTAGATATCACTTCCTGCAGGGGAGTAACAGGTTGGACTCAGATTGTGTGTGACCACCACAGAAGACACTGCAAACCCCCGAAGAGAGTCCATGGTCTGTATTGAGGCTTCTTGGAATGACTTCAGACTTGGACCCCCCCAGGATCAGAATAGAAAAGACACGGAGAATGGGAAATTGGTTTGAGAAGACAAAAACATAAATTGGCTGGCATCAGGATGAATTAGATTTTGCCAGCTTTATAGAAATGGAATTTTGTTCTTCCCCCCAAAATTGTGTGTGTGTGGAGGGAGGCCAAGAGATATCTAGGTAATGTGTGTGGGCAAGAATGTCTAATCTAAAGAGAGCCCTGGAAGCCTGCTGCTGAAGCAGAATTTTAATGTGGGAAAGGGGGGTGTGTAGTGAAAGGGGGAAGAATGGAGATGGCAGGGCTCTGGAATTAGAGGAGGTCATTCATTTCACAAACATTTGCAGACCCCCTACTTTGTGCCAGATATTGGAGATAAAAAGGTCAGTGAGGCATGACCTTTGGGTTCACATTCTGGTGGGAGAGAAGACAGATAAAAATATCAATTACAGCCACTTATCCATAGCTTAGTTTTCCGTGGTTTCCGTTACCCATGGTCAACCTCAGCCCAAAGACAGTAAACAGAAAATTCCAGAAGTAAACAATTCATAAGTTTTAGATGTGCATTGTTCTGAGTAGCATGATGAAATCTCTTGCCCTCCCACTGTTCCTTCATCACAAGAAGGGTAAGTACAGTACAAGATAGTTTGAGAGAGAGAGAGACCACATGCATATAACTTTTATTACGGTATATTGTTATTCTGTTGTGTTATTATTGTTAATCTATTTCTGTGCCTACTTTATAAACTTTATTACAAGTGTGTATGTGTAGGAGAAACAGGTTTCAGACATCCACTGGGGGTTTTGGAATGCATCTCCTGAGGATTGAGGGGACTCCTGTATGAATGTATCTTTAGCGGATGGGGGGTGCTACTGTATGAAGCACTGTGATAGTGCTATTGTAGAAATACAGTGTATGCAAAGCTGCAGGAGGAGGGATACATTCAACTCAGAGGTGGGATGGGTACAGGAAACACCTCACAGATAAGGGGACAAATTGTATTCAAGCCTTCAAGGATGCGCTGGACTGGAGAGAAGAGCATGTACAAGGGAATGGGTGGAGAGTGGGGAGTGAAGAAGGGGCTGTCTTCCTGGTTCAGTGTATCTAATGGCCAGAGAATTAGGTAGGACGAGGAGGGATTTGGGGCTGGATGGGTAAGTTGGGGCTAGCCGGATGCAGGGCAGGGGAGGATGTCTGTGCAGTTTTTTTTTTTTGTTTTGAGTCAGAGTCTCGCTCTGTCACCCAGGCTGGAGTGCAGTGGCGTGATCTCAGCTCACTGCAACCTCCGCCTCCTGGGTTCAAGCGATTCTCCTGCCTCAGCCTCCCGAGTAGCTAGGACTACAGGCGCGTGCCACCATGCCCGGCTAATTTTTGTATTTTTAGTAGAGGCTGGGTTTCACCATGTTGGCCAGGATGGTCTCGATCTCTTGACCTCATGATCTGCCCACCTCGGCCTCCCAAAGTGCTGGGATTACAGGCGTGAGGCACCGTGCCCGGCCACCTGTGCAGTTTTGACCTCAGCTAGTAGGAGTTTTTTTGGTGTGTTTGTTTTTATTTTTATTTTTATTTTTATTTATTTATTTTATTTTAGAGACAGTCTCTCCCTATGTTGGCCAGGCTAGTCTTGAACCCCTGGATTCAAGGGATCCTCCTGCCTCAGCCTCCCACAGTGCTAGGATTATAGGCATGAGGCACCAAACCCAGCCTCAGCTAGGAGATTTGAAGCAGGAGAATAACAAGGATGAGATCCTGTGTGCTAGAAGGATGATCCTGGCAGCACTTTTTAGGAAATATGCCACATCTCACCAAATCTAAGATGCTATTTGTCTTAATCCATTTTCTGTTGCTGTAACAGAATACCACAGACTGGGTAAATTGTAAACAACAGATGTTTATTCAGCTCACGGTTCTGGCCAATGGACTCTTGCAAGAAAGGCATTAATCCATTCATGAGAGTTACACCCTCATGACCCAGTCACGTCTTAAAGACCCCACCTCTTAATACCGTTACATTGGCAATTACGTTTCCAACACGTGAACTTTTGGGGGACATGTTCAAACCACAGCACCACCAAATCTTTTATGTGCCCTTATTTTATGCTCCACATCAAAAAAATATTTTGCCAGTTAAATTATGACATGCAATTGATCACATTTCAGAGATGCTAAAATGTGATGTCACAGGTGTCTCAAATTTGATGAAAAGCACTAACTCCCTTGCTGATGGCTTAGATTCCTCCCTTTCCCTGGATTAATGGTTAGGATGTCTCCATCTCACTAACTCATAGATGGTAAGTTACCAAGGGAAAGAAGAACAGAAGCTGGGTGGGCCCTTCCCCTTCTCTCCCCAAAGATAAACATTTACAACATTTACTGGTTGGGTCGAGGAGCACAATATCTGGTCTGCTGCTATAGGATTCCTTGGCCTGTTATTGGGCCTGTCTCATGCTGTTTCCTTTTGGGGAGTTAAATACACACACACACACACACACACACACACACACACACACACATATTCTATATCCCATCCTCCAGAGTGGCAAAAATTAAAGCTGATATTATCAGGTGTTGGTGAGGCTGTGGGGCATCATGAGTGCTCATAGCCTGCTGAGCAGACTACATAGCACTATAGTCACTTTGGAAACAGTTTGGCCTGCTTAGTCAAATTGAGGGTACATCTTGCCTGTGTGTGCTAGAACATGTATGCAGAAATATTCACTGAAGCAGTGTTTGTAATTGTCCCAAACTGGAAACAACTCATATGGCTATCAGTAGACTGCATTAAAAATTGTATAGTTAGAGAGCAGCAATTAAGTAAAATCAGCTCATAATCACATGGATGAGCCTCACAAACATGTTGACAGCCCCCCACCCAAATACATGGAAAAAAAAAAAAAAAAAAGGAAAAAAATTCCATTCATTTGAGGCTCAAAACCTGAGAAAATAAACTCTGTTTATGGGGTGTATACCTAGGTCTAAAACTAAAGAAAAGGGAAGGAGTGATTCTCACTATTACAATTTACTCCACAACAACCATTTTCTCAGACACAGCTTTTTCTTCTCCTGGTTTCTGTAAGTTGCTGGAGCGAAACCTTGGATACGATGATTTGCTGGTGACGTGCAGCCCACTGTTCTTGCTGCTACAGGGAATATGAAGAAATTGCTTCTCTCTCTACCAATTTACTACCATCTTGCTGGAGAGAAAGGGCAGGTGGCTAAGATTGTTCGCATTCCTTCAGCAGATGTGTAGGAAGCATCTTCTTTGTGTCAGATACTCTGTGCTTGTGCTTTGTTTTCTCAGTCAGTTTTTATTGTCTACTCTGTGCCAAGTAATATGTAGATTCTGGTGATAAGACAGACACAATCTCTCTCCTTGTTTCATGGAAAAAGCTGGTGTTAAGCGAGTAATTACACTAATAAGTCAGGACTTAAAACTGCAGAGAAGTACAGGGTGCAGCATGGGGTGTTTTGGGGCTGTATAACTAGACTACATGTGGACCCAATCTGACAGGTCAGGAAAGAATTGCCAGAGGAGGTGGCTTTCAGCTGAGACTTCAAGCTAGAAAAGGCATTTGCTAAGTGGGAAAGGGATGGTGTTCTAGGCAGAAGGAATTACATTGTCGAAGGGCTTAGCCAGGAAAGAGCATAGCACTTTGAGGCATGGAGAGCGGTTTGGTTTGGCTGTGAGTTTGAGGTGGGGAGTGGCAGGAAATGAGCCTGGAGACACAGGCTGGGCCATGATTATCTGGGAATCCAGCTAGGATCTCCTGGGACAGCCTCCTCACAGAAGAAAGGAAGGACAGGAGTTTTGACTTTATTCCTGGAGCACCAGAAAGCCATTGAGGGGTTTAACCTGGTTGGTCACCCGGGCAGATTGGCAGTTTAACACGTGACCGAGTGTGTTTGAGGATCAAAAGGCCAGAGTGGCTGCAGCACTGGGGCAGCAAAGGGGAGAGGAGGTTTATGTAAATCAGGAAACCCTTGAGGGTTTGATGATCCCACAGTTGGATCTGATTTCAGCTTCTAAAGGATTCCTCAGGTCACTGGATGTAAGTTCTGGTAGGACAGGGAGTTTGCCACTTTTGTTCTCTGCTGTAACCTCGGTGCCTGACACATAGTCGGCACCTAATAAACATCTGCTAGCTGTTGAATAACTTTCAACATCCTGCTGCTTAAACCCTCAATGGCTTCCCAGGGCTGTTAGGATAAAGTCCAAAATTCTTAACCTGGGTCACAGTCTTGCATAATCTGTTCCCTCCTGTTTCTCCACCCTTCCTCTGCTCGCCTCACTGCACTCCACCTGTGGCCAATTGTCAGCTCCTCAAATTCACCGCTACCCTTTCTCCGGCGGATGATTTCCTCTGCCTGTGAGGCTAACCCTCCACAGCACTCCATATGGGCAGGGAAGAGTTCATTTTCCAGGCACCAAAGTGCAGTGTATGGTGGAATGGAAGGAGCCCAGAGCTGGGAGGTGCACCTCACCCCACCTCGTGCTAGTGCTGGCCTTGCTGCCAGCCAGCTCTGCTGCTGGGCAAATGAGTCCGAGGCTCTGGCACTCACTGTCCTCCTCTGTAAATAAGGGGTTCTAGTGATTCACAGTCCTGGATAGACTTTAGAATCTCCTGGGAAGTTTGTTTTTTAATACCAGAGCCTGGGCCACCTCTGGAGATCCTAAGTCAGTTGGTCTAGGTATGTTTTGAAGACTCACCAGTTTGAAGACTACAAATCTGATGTGTAGTCAAGGTTTGAACCATTCCACAAGATGATAAAGGATTCCTTCCTATATTTGGTGCAAAGCACCAAGTGACACTTAGGAATATTTTAGACAAGAGAGCTTGGTTCATGATTCAACATTAGACAGATATTCTGGCACAAATATGAAGAACCCTCAATTTTCCCCTGTGGGTCAGCCACAAGACCAGGGCAATTTAACGCCTTGTCTCATCCACCTCCCAGCTGGCTGCTACCTCCTGCCCCTCTTTGAGCCCTGTGGGGATTTCTAGCGTTCAGAGCCCTGGTAGTTTTTGTGGCCTGCACTGTGCTTCAGAGCACCACTGATGCTCGGCTCCGTGGGGAAAGTAAGCCAAGTGTGACCACAAGAACGCATCATCCACAGTCACTGGGATCTCCTGGGACAGCCTGGGATCCAGGCCTTTGGCCTGGCCAGTAGGGGTGCAGTCACTCCTAGTATGCACATCCAGATCACTTGCTTTTTGCCCCGAATTCTGGCCTCTCCAGGTTTGTTAGAGGTGTCTCACGGAAGTTTACCCCATGGAGAGTTTGCTTATCTCAGATTAAAATATGGGGATTAATCTGGGACCCAGGAGCCCTTAAATGGAGTACCCACAGGGAATGGAGCTCTAGGCTAAGTGCTTTGGGATTACAGGTGCTTTGCTCTTGTTTGGAGGTCCAGACATATGCTTGAGAAGCAGCTTGGGATACTCAAGAGAGGCCTGAACTGGTACCCTGGAGGCCAGGATGAAAACCCAGGCCTCTCCATTTACTTTCTTGGGCCCCAGAGTCCACATTTGGGATTCACTGTCTACCAGGGCACCTCTCTGGGTGGCATCTAGGAGCCGGAGGCAGGCCAGAGTTTCACCCAGGCTGGAGTGCAGTGGCGCAGTCATGGCTGTCTGCAGCCTCAACTTCCCGGGCTCGGGAGATCCTCCTGCCTCAACTTCCTAAGTAGCTGGAACTATAGGCATGTGCCATCGCACCCAGCTAATTCAGCTAATTTCTTTTTTTGGAGACAATGTCTCACTATATTACCCAGGCTGGTCTCAAACTCCTGGGCTCAGGCAGTCCTCCTGCCTTAGCCTCCCACAGTGCTGGAATTACAGGCACAAGCCCCCGTGCCCGGCTTTCAGCTAGTTTTTGTAGCTCATAGTGATTATTCTTGGAGCCAATAATCGTGCATGCATCCACATCTTGAAATTACATGGTGTCACCTTGACCAGTCTGTTGACATATGCAGATTAGGTATTTATGAGATCCAGAGACTTATAGGGGAGGGGTGGATTTCAGGGAAAAGGGAACCTCTTAGAGAAAGGTAGGGAGTGTCTGCAGTTCTGCCTGTGAGGAGGGTACCAGGACATTGCAGGGCTTGTTTGTTGCATCTTCCTGGTTCTATAGAATTGCAGCTAGCTTCTGGTTTATTTTTTCATTTTTATTTTTTGAGATGGAGTTTTGCTCTTGTTGCCCAGGCTGGAGTGCAATTGGCGTGATCTCAGCTCACTGCAACCTCCGCCTCCTGGGTTCAAGCGATTCTCCTGCCTCAGCCTGCCCAGTAGCTGGGATTATAGGCATGCGCCACCACACCTGGCTAATTTTGTATTGTTAGTAGAGATGGGGTTTCTCCTTGTTGGTCAGGCTGGTCTCAAACTCCCGATCTCAGGTGATCCACCCGCCTCTGCCTCCCAGAGTGCTAGGATTACAGGCAGAAGCCACCGCGCCCGGCCGCTTCTGGTTTATTGAAGAGACAGAAAAATACCCCCTCACCCCCAGCAGGGATGTGTGACCTCTGGTGCAAGGGAGTTCATGAAGTGACTTCTTCAGGTTCAGAATTCTCATCTGAGTAAAGGGAGTGGGGGTGGAGTGGGTCATCTCTGAGGTTTTTTTTTTTTGGCTCTGATTTTGGTTTCTGTCTGCCCAGGAGTCAGGAATGGAGAGAAGGGTAATGGTTTTACCTCTTATTGTGGAAACCTGTTGAGATCACAGAGAATATACTGACGGCATAAAAGGGCAGAACCATAGCAGGGTGCGGTAAGTTGGGGAAGAGTTTTTGGAGAGGGTGAATTTTGCATTGGACCGGACAGAATTGTGTATGGGGAAGGGGAGCGGTTATTCTGGTCTGCTCACATCTCTCATACTCAACCTCATTTCTCCTAATTCTGAAATCTTGAGATCCTCTATCACTAAGAAGGAAAACTACTGTCCAACAGGGACACTTTATTGCTCACCCCATATGTGAAAGTTTGTCATAGCTAAGGCTAGGGTGCTTTTGGTCAGTATCAGCAGAATATATGCCCCCTTTCTTTTGTCAGCATTACTCCGCTTACAAAGCCCTTCCATGTAGATGACCTCATCTGAGCTTCCTAACAAAGGAGCTGGTATTAGACCCCATTTTACAGTGTGCCTGGGTAGGGAAGAGAGTGTAGTGGATTGAGCAGAGGCCTTGGCACCAGACACTGCTTCCTAGCCATGTGCTCTTGGGCAAGTTGCTTAACCCTGCTGAGCCTCAGTTTCCTCAGAAGGAGTCTGTATAAGCAAGGGGAGGGATTGGTCATAGAAGTGGTACTGTGTTTCATTTATCTAGTTATGGCAGACTCTCAAAAACAAATGGTTCTATACAACTAACATTGTCTGCAATTCCCCTGAATCCATTCACTTGTTCAGTAAATGTGTATTGAGCTTCTACAAGGTGTCAAGCACCATGATCTCTGTATCAGTGATTTAACCATTTTTGATGGTTACTACAGACCTCTTTAAGAATGTGATAGAAAACTGTAGCTCCCTCCCCAGAAAACTTTTCTAGCTTTTTATTTTGCTTTGCAGTGAGCCAAGATAGTTCCACTGCACTCGGGGGACAGAGTAAGACCCTGTCTCAAAAAAAAAAAAAAGAAAGGAACCATTTCAAATTAGGTGGGAGACATGGAGCTCTAAATACTACAGCATCCATTGCCTAGAAATACAGGTATTCTCAGCCGGGCGCGGTGGCTCACACCTGTAATCCCAGCACTTTGGGAAGCCAAGGCAGGTGGATCACCTGAGGTCAGGAGTTTGAGACCAGCCTGGCCAACCTGGTGAAACCCCGTCTCTACTAAAACTACAAAAAATTAGCCGGATGTGGTGGTGGGCACCTGTAATCCCAGCTACTAGGGAGGCTGAGGCAGGAGAATCGCTTGAACCTGGCAAGCGAAGGTTGTAGTGAGCCAGATTGCGCCATTGCACTCCAGCCTGGGCAACAAGAGAAAAACTCCATCTCAAAAATAAATAAATATATTAATAAATAAATAAGAAGTATAGGCATTCTCATACATAACCTCAGTAAATACCATTAAGAAAATAATTTTAGACATGGTGCAGTTGCTCATGCCTATAATCCCAGCACTTTGGGAGGCTGAGGTGGGAGGATGGCTTGAGCCTAGGAGTTTGAGACCAGCCTGGGCAATATAGTGGCAACTCTTCTCTACAAAAACCTTTAAAAATTAGCCAAGTGTGGTAGTATGCACCTGTTGTTGCAGCAACTCGGGAGCCTGAGATGAGAAGATTGCTTGAGCCAGGGAGGCCGAGGTTGCAGTGAGCCCAGATAGTTCCACTGCACTCTGGGGGACAGAGTAAGACCCTGTCTCAAAAAAAAAAAAAAAAAAAAGAAAGAGAGGAAATAATTTTTTAATATGATCTAACACCCAGCCTACTTACAAATTTCCCACAATAGTTCCAAGACTATTTTTATAACCTTTTTTTTCTTTTTACAGGATCCAATCAAGGTTCACGTATTGCATTTGGTTATTATTTCTCTTTAGTCTGTAAAAATCAAAAGCAGTTCTTTCGAAGGTTTTTTTTTATGACATTGACTTTTTAAAAGACTAGGCCAGTTGCCATGTGCAATGTCCAGCATTCTGGATTTATCTGGTTCTTTCCTTATGGTGTGGTTTAATTCCTCCATCGGTACTTTTTCAGTTATAACATACTTCAGAGTATTCCTTTCCTTTATATTTTTTATAAACTGGAAGTTAGATCTAAAGTCTTGACTAGATTCATTCAAGTCAAACATTTTTGGCACAAACACTTCATAGGTAATGTTGTGTGATTCATATAGTGCCATGCCAGAAAGCACATGCCACTTTGCCCCGTCTGCTGATGACGCTGGATTTGGTCACTTAGTTAAGATAACCACTGGATCTCTTCCTTATGAAGGTATGTCAGGAAGTAATCCATTCATTGGTGCTTTGGCACCATGGGTACTATCTCATCCCCCAAAACTTTTCACCTAATAGTTTTAGCATCTATTGATGATCCTTGTGCTATTATAATGGCAGTCGCAAAATGATTTTCTAATTCTGTTATCCCTCTTCTACTTATTTGCTGATTAATCTTACAGAAGGTTATTCTTCTGTAATCCCCAGACAATTTTAGGTATCTAGTACATATGCAATAATTTTTAGACAGTTTCAGGAGGTTTAGAGACCATCAAACCCCAGCATGGAGCCTGGGTGATGAGGTGTCCTGTTTTGCATGGAAGAAGAGCTGTAGCTGAGCTCTTCATAGTCCTTTTATTGTTCTTATTTTGCAAGTAAATTGCAAAATAAGTTCCCAACCCAAAGATAACACAGGCTATCCTTCAACAAAGAAAAACCTCAGCTTTTAAACTTCTAGGCCATTTGGCAAAGAGGCATGATAAAGGGCTTGAAAGCCCACAGACACGCCCAGTACCACTCCTTTTTCCTCTTTCCAAACACTTGCAGTATGTTACAACTGAAAAACTGCTGAGCCAGGCTTATTTCCTCAACAGTAAAGCCAAGGAGTTGGACCAGGCAATTCCTAGCATTTCTTTCTTTTTTTTTTTTTGAGATGGAGTCTCACTCTGTCACCCAGGCTGGAGTGCAATGGCACGATCTCGGCTCACTGCAACCTCTGCCTCCCGGGTTGAGGTGATTGATTCTCCTGCCTCAGCCTCCTGAGTAGCTGGGACTACAGGTGCATGCTACCACACCTGGATAATTTTTGTATTTTTAGTAGAGATGGGGTTTCACCGTGTTAGCCAGGATGGTCTCAATCTCCTGACATTGTGATTCACCTGCCTCGGCCTCCCAAAGTGTTGGGATTACAGGTGTGAGCCACCGTGCCCGGCCAATTCCTAGCATTTCTACCAGCATTACTAACATGTAGGAACTTGATATTACTTTCACTTGACAGTTAAATTCCTTGAATCCTTCATTTGAGCTTTGAAGGTGCTTGATTTTCCCCTCATTATGTCTCTTAAAGTCACACATACCTAGATCCATTAGTGCTTCCAGTTGGAATTTATTATCAGCACTATAAGAATCTCTTATATTTATGTAGTCCTTTTACGTTATAAAACACTTTTTATGTATTATTGTACTAGACCCTCAATGAGTGGACGTTATATCCCTGTTTTGTTTACTCTTGGGTCTTATAGACTGGGGGTTTTATTTCTGTCCCATTAATGTCACTACTGACAGAGGCCACTGAACTCTGTTGTGATGGACTTTCACCATACATAATCATTAATAGTATTGATTTGCCTGTAATTCAGGTTGCTTCATTCCAGCCTCGCAGTCACCTCTGTGCCCTGCTGGTTGTCTTCCCAGCGCTGCTGTAGTTGCCTTCCATGGATCTATAGGAGAGCAAGTCCTCCAGGTACTGCCCTGTGACGATGTTGTTGAACTCTGTAGCACGTGTGTCACTGTGGCTGGTTCTGCTCACTTCCTCTTTTGCTGCCACTTTTGAATTTAACTCTTTGTTTGTGGTTTGGACACTCACTGGATTTGGAAACCAGGGGTTGTGGGTTCTCTCCTAGATTTCCGTCTGTGTACCAGGCTTGTGCTTAGCACTTTTCCCATAATTCTTTCACATGACCTGCTTAGAAACCCTTAAAGGTAAGTATCACTCTTCCCATTTTACAGATGGATACACTGAGGCTCAGTACTTAAGTGACTTCTGTATTGTCACACAGAGTCAGGGGCAGGAGGCTGCTCTTGGGTTAGATGTGCTGAGGCTCATAACCTCAGCCTGGAACTGGGTCAGGACTACAAAGGTAAACAGAAGCAGAGTCCTTTCTGTGTGTCCCCGCTCCCTGTACAAGCCAAGGCCTCACAGCACATAGCAGCCACAGCCACCTGAGGATTCCTGCCATCTAGACGAGGCAGTTACAGCCAAGAACAAGTCCACTGAGGCTAAGCTGTGCTCCTCTGGAGGGCTGTGTTTAGAGTCCAGCCTTCTAGGGGAAGCAAATTAAACCCAAACTATAGAACAGCCCAGGGAAATACTCACAAAGGGAAATGCTGACAGTCAGACTCCTGAAGCTTCCTGATGCTTCTCGAGTTTTGGTAAAGAACCTCAGTGCTGTTTGTTTGTTTGTTTTTTAATGTTTTCTGGTTTTTTGTTTGTTTTGAGACAGTCTCTTATTCTGTTGCCCAGTCTGGAGTGTAGTAGTACAATCATGGCTCACTGTAGCCTCCACCTCCCAGATTCAAGTAATCCTTCTGCCACAGCCTCCTCAGTAGCTGAGACTACAGATGCATGCTACTACACTGGGGTATTTTAAAAAATTTTTAAATTTTTTTAGTTGAGACAGGGTCTCACTATGTTGCTGAGGCTGGTTTCAAACTCCTCGGTTCAAGTGATCCTCCTGCCTCAGCCACCCAAAGTGTTGGATTTACAGGGTGAGCCATGTCACATTGCCCTCTCTTAGTTCTTGAAACCTGAAACCTTGAGGAGCAAACAAAAGGGGTCTCTTGGCCAGGTGCAGTGGCTCACGCCTGTAATCCCAGCACTTTGGGAGGCCGAGGCAGGTGGATCACGAGGTCGGGAGATCAAGACCATCCTGGCTAACACGGTGAAACCCCGTCTCTACTAAAAATACAAAAAATTAGCCAGGTGTGGTGGTGGGTGCCTGTAGTCCCAGCTACTCGGGAGGCTGAGGCAGGAGAATGGTGTGAACCTGGGAGGCGGAGGTTGCAGTGAGCTGAGATCACGCCACTGCACTCCAGCCTGGGCGACAGAGTAAGACTCCATCTCAAAAAAAAAAAAACCAAAAAAAAAAAACGGGCGGTCTCTTGACTCTGTCAGGACCCCCATGACTGCTCGTGTGTCTTGTGCTTTGCACAGTTGAGTGAAGGAGCACTGTGTCCACAGTAGACATTGTAGATTTATATATGTATCATTATGAGTTTCCCAGCAGGTAGTGAGAGATTTTTTATTACAGTTGGTGCATTACAGCGATTTTCCAACAGATAGAAGGAAAGGGTGTTGAGGCTCTCCCAACAGCAAGGTATAGGCTAGTGGCTGTCCTGCTCTTCACTCTACCAAGCTAATCTTTCTGGGTTTCCATATCCTTATCTGTACAATGAGGAAGTTGGACTAGATCTATAAGGTCCTCTTCTCGTTGACATTGTGTGAACCTTGTAGGAGCTGGTGGTGTCTGTCGATTGACTGAGTGCTGGAGCTGGCAGCCCTGTGCAGGCTGCCACCTTTGCCCCTTTACTGTGCTTGCTCCTGACTCTATGTCGCGTCTTCAAGGAGAAGAAGTCCTCACCAGTGAACGGAGACCTCTCTGAACTAAGGATACCATGGCCACGTCAGCCCCACTACGGAGCCTGGAAGAGGAGGTGACCTGCTCCATCTGTCTTGATTACCTGCGGGACCCTGTGACCATTGACTGTGGCCACGTCTTCTGCCGCAGCTGCACCACAGACGTCCGCCCCATCTCAGGGAGCCGCCCCGTCTGCCCACTCTGCAAGAAGCCTTTTAAGAAGGAGAACATCCGACCCGTGTGGCAACTGGCCAGCCTGGTGGAGAACATTGAGCGGCTGAAGGTGGACAAGGGCAGGCAGCCGGGAGAGGTGACCCGGGAGCAGCAGGATGCAAAGTTGTGCGAGCGACACCGAGAGAAGCTGCACTACTACTGTGAGGACGACGGGAAGCTGCTGTGCGTGATGTGCCGGGAGTCCCGGGAGCACAGGCCCCACACGGCCGTCCTCATGGAGAAGGCCGCCCAGCCCCACAGGGTAAGCCCTCTTCACCCCCGAGGGTGCCTTGCCACCTTCTCTGGATGCTCCACCTTGCAGTCCTCAGAGGACTCAGCCTGAGTCTCCCTTCCTGCCCCAGCCCAGAGCATCCACCTGTTGCCACTGCTTGTTTTTCCACAGGAAAAAATCCTGAACCACCTGAGTACCCTAAGGAGGGACAGAGACAAAATTCAGGGCTTCCAGGCAAAGGGAGAAGCTGATATCCTGGCCGCGCTGGTAAGTGAGGCTGTTTCAGGAAGCCCTGAGGCGGTGCGCCCGTGTAGGGCAGGGTGAGCCTGGGCAAGTAGGCGGCAGCTGGGAGGTGTTTCTAGGCGCTGCTCACAGGGAGGATGGGTGTCAGCCTGGCAGTAGCAGACCTGGGTTTTAGCCCAAGTGCTGTCTTTCTGAGCCGTGTAGTCTTGGGCCTGTTTCTTGTCTGAGAGACAAGTGGGCTGCCTGGATGTCAGCTAGAGTCCCTTCCGTTTTCTGTGACTGTCACCTTGAAGGCAGGGCCCATGTCCAGCTGCTGGTTCTCTTCTGCCAGGGGACTGAAGAAGGTGTGGCTTCATTCTTCCTTTCAAAGAGAGAGAGAGAGACAAGGTTGCCTGAGAGTGGAGAGGGTTTAGAAGGAGGGAGCTGGCTCCAGGGTAAGAACTGAGAGGGAAGGGCTAGAAAACAGCTAAGGCAGGTCTGCCAATTCTGATGGCACTGTATGTAGTGAGGTCCAGGCCCAGGATCATGGTTGCCAGTACAGTGGGACCTCCTCCATATCTGTGGGTTCCGTAGCGGCGAATTTACCCAACCATGGATCAGAAATATTCAGAAAAAAGAAAAAGCGTCTCTACTGAACATGTACAGATTTTTTTTCTTGTCATTATTCTCTAAACAATTCAGTGTAACAGCTATTTATATAGCATTTACATTATATTAGGCATTATAAGTAATCTAGTGATAATTTAAAGTATATAGTAGATTTTATGTAACTATTATTCCATTTTACATAAGAACTTGAGCATCCTTGGATTTTGGTATCCTTGGGGAGGGAGATCCTGGAACCCATCACCCACTGATACCAAGGGACAACTGTAGTTAGAAAACAGGCAGCACATTATGTACTTGATTAGAGATGGGGTTGGGGGGAACTGATCAAATGGTTCTGATTTTCTGGGGAACTGTGTATGTTGAGGAAGTGGGCAGTGGAGGAGTAGTGGGGTCAGGGCCAGTGGTGAGTCATTAGGCCTAGGGAGAGGGAAACAGTAAGCTAGAGACAGCCAAGTCCAAGGACCCCTCCAGGCCCTCAGTGTGCATGGCTGCCCCCAGCTCAGCACCAGTCAACAGGGCCACTGAGGACTCCCCCAACCCCAGCTGGGGAGGAGATTTGGAGGCAGGAAAGGACATAGTCCCTAAGCACAGACGTCACACAATTTTGCTGAGGAAACAGGATGCAGTCTTACATGGCAGGGGTGGGGTACATATAGATATTTTAGACTGAACAGTGGGGTGCTGAAGAGAGGGCTGGTCAGGCTTAGATGACATTAATCAAGCAAAACTTCCTGGAAGAGGTGACAGATTTTGTCCAGGAGGGAAAAGTGCGTCGGCTCATGAGTGAGACCCACAGAGTTTCTCTAGGGGCCCCAGAGCGTACTGGTTTAGCTAGAACAGATTGTGGCTGACCAGTCAGGTGGAGACAGGGTTTTGACCATATAGTGGTGGGGTGAACTGAACTAATTCATTACTGGAGTCTTCTTTGAGAAGCGGAGTGTGGACCAGGAACCCTCTGTAGCTCCTCCCACTCCAGATCCTGTAGAATTCCTGAACGGGGGTAGCGAGGTGAACGAGCCAGCCTTGCACACCTCCAGCACTGGGCCCTCCACCCTGAGCAGAGGTGTCAGCCCTTCTCCCCTTCCTGCCCCCTGCAGAAGAAGCTCCAGGACCAGAGGCAGTACATTGTGGCTGAGTTTGAGCAGGGTCATCAGTTCCTGAGGGAGCGGGAGGAACACCTGCTGGAACAGCTGGCGAAGCTGGAGCAGGAGCTCACGGAGGGCAGGGAGAAGTTCAAGAGCCGGGGCGTCGGGGAGCTTGCCCGGCTGGCCCTGGTCATCTCCGAACTGGAGGGCAAGGCGCAGCAGCCAGCTGCAGAGCTCATGCAGGTGAGAGGCCGTCCCTGGGCAGGGCGCCAGGGACCAGGACGGTGGGTCCCAGCCCTGCCATTCACTTGCAGGACCTTAGAAGACTTGGGGGCTCAGTTTTGTCATCTGAAACATGGAGATGATAATCCTTACTGCTGCCAATTAGTCTGTAGATTGCATGAGCATAAAATGAAATAACTGGCATGCTGTCACTTCAAAAAATAAACTTTTTACACAAAACTGTTCAAAAAACTAAATGGTATAGTAGAAAATGGAAGGGAAGATTATTAATATCATTTACCATCCTCCATCCTCATCACTGCCATCACAAGCCCTCTTAACAAGTCATTGGCAGACACTTAGCAGCTGGTGGAAGCTTTTTATGGTGTTGTGGTTGGGGGTGGCTGAGGGAGGGCTGACCAGCAGCTCCTCTCAAAGACCCAGAGGATCTGGAAGAGATAGGGTAACTGGGGAAGGGAGACAGAGATGGCCAGGTTTTCTTTGGCCCATGGGATTACCACACAGAGAACAAGATGGAAAGCAGACAAGGGGGCCTCGGGGCACCTCCTAGAGGAGGGGGCTTTGATAGTGAGAAAGGGAGGGTTTGGGGCTGAAGAACTGGCTGTGAAGCTGAAATGGCACCACATCTCCTCCCCCCCGGGAGCCTCTGGGGATCACACTTACCCTGAAGAGGGCCCAGTCCCCTTTGGAGGGGTAGAGGGCTCAACCTTCCTGCTCTCATAGGCTGGGAGGGGAGGGGCTCTCTGATGGTATTCCCCCACTTGCACTGTTTAGGGTGGCTGGGTCTGTCTGTCAGCAGCAGAGCCACCCAGGATCTCTAGGAAGGTGGAGTCCCAGGCTAATGGCAGGGCAATAGCTAGGAGGGAGAGATAGCAAGGCAGACTCTGCAGTATGTGCACTGGGACAGACTGCAGAAGGAGGCGGCCACCTGCTCCTCATTGTTGTGAATTCAGATGTACAGAATGAGGACTGGCAGGGATTTTAGACCTTCCAGTTCAGCCCCTACTGATGAAGTCACTGAGGTCCAGAGAGTGGGAGGAGTTTGTCCCAGGCCATGGGGTGGGTGTCAGGTCACAGCTTGAGCCCAGATGTCCTGACTCCTGGGCTCTGAGCTCTTGTTCTTATTTTGTCCAGAATGTCTCTCTGGCCCCCTCTTTTCCTCCAGATGTCATTCTGTTCTCTCAGATTTCTCTCGTCATACTCTTTGACTGGGTCATTTTCTGCATCTCCTTTTGCCCGTTTCTCTTCTCCTTCCTCTCCTCACGCCCCTGCCATGTGTGAATGCCTACTGTGTGGAACAGAGGCACACAGCTGAGGATGTGGTGGGGCTGAAATCCATTGTGTTTGCCCGGAGGGGTGCCTTTTCCTAATGCACCCAGAGAAGTGGCCCTCAGAGCAGAAGCCTGGCCCTCAATGACTCAGAGCACTCAGATTGCAGCTCTCCCTGGGGTGGGATAAGGTCAAGGGAAGGGAGAGAAAATGGTGTCAGCTTGAAACTAGTATAGGAAATGTTATTGGTACTGGTAGGTTTCTTTTTTTGTTTTGTGTTTTCTCTTTTAATTTTAGTGCTATATAATGTATATATTTATGGGATGTAGAGGTTTTTGTTTGTTTATTTTTGAGACAGAGTCTCGCTCTGTCTCCCAGGCTGGAGTGCAGTGGCGTGATCTCAGCTCACTGTAATCTCCGCCTCCTGGGTTGAAGCAATTCTCCTGCCTCTGCAACCTCTGTCTCCTGGGTTCAAGCGATTCTCCTGCCTCAGCCTCCCAAATAGCTGGGATTACAGGCGCACATCACCACACCTGGCTATTTTCTGTATTTTTGGTAGAGTCAGGGTTTCACCATGTTGGCCAGGCTGGTCTTGAACTCCTGACCTCAGGTGATCGCCTGCCTCAGCCTCCCACAGTGCTGGGATTACAGGCGTGAGCCACTGTGCCTGGCCTAGAGTGATACTTTGATACAAGTATATAATATATAATAATCAACTCAGAGTAATTAGTATATCTGTCACCTCAAACACTTATCATTTCTTTGTGTTGGAACATTCAAAATCCTCTCTTCTAGCTTTTTGAAAATGTATAGTAAATTATAGTTAATTATATTCTCCCTGCAATGCTGCACAACACTAGAATTTATTCTTCCCATGTAGCTATAACTTTGTATCTGTTAACCAACTTC
Organism: Homo sapiens; assembly: GCF_000001405.40. Taxonomy (NCBI): domain Eukaryota; kingdom Metazoa; phylum Chordata; class Mammalia; order Primates; family Hominidae; genus Homo; species Homo sapiens. The sequence continues at coordinate 1,452,398 of NT_167244.2, read as the reverse complement.
TCCCCACCCTCCTCTCCCCAGCCCCCTTCCCAACCTCTAATCATTACTATTCTACTGTCTTACTTCCATGAACTCAAATTTATTATGGATGAATAGTACTCCATTGTGTATATATGCTACATTTTCTTTATCTATCTGTTGATGGATGCTTAGATTGAGTCCACATCTCAACTATTGTGAATAGTGCCACAATAAACATGAGTGTGCAGGTATCCCTTTGATATACTGATTTTCTTTTCTTTGGATAAATACCTAGTAATGAGATTGCTGGATCATATGGTAGTTCTATTTTTAGTTTTTTGAGAAACTCTCATACTGTTTTCCGTAACGGCTATACTTATATGTAGAAAAACCTAAAGGCCCCACCAAAAAACCCTTAGAACTAATAAACAAATTCAGTAAAGTTGCAGGATACAAAATCAACATAAAAAGTCTACTGCATTTTTAATACACCAATAACAAACTAGCTAAAAAAGACATCAAGAAAGCAACCCCATTTACAATAGCTACAAAAGTAAAATAAAATACCTGGGAATGAAGTTAACCAAGGAGGTGAAAGACCTCTTTAATGAAAACTACAAAACACTGATGAAAGAAATTGAAGAGGACACAAACAAATGGAAAAATATTCCATGCTTGTGGATTAGAATTAATATTGTTAAAATGACTGTCCTACCCAAAGCAGTCTACAGATTTAATACAATCCCTGTTATCAAAATACGAATGACATTCTTCAGAAAAATAGAAAAAAAACTAAAATTCATATGGAGTCACAAAAAACCCCAAATGGCCAAAGCAATCCTAAGCAAAAAGAACAAAACTGGAGGCCTCACACTATCTTACTTCAAAATATACTACAGCCAGTTGTGGTGGCTCACACCTGTAATCCCAGCACTTTGTGAGGCCGAGACAGGCGGATCACGAGGTCAGGAGTTTGAGACCAGCCTGACCAACATGGTGAAACCCCATCTCTACTAAAAATACAAAAATTAGCTGGGCGTGATGGTGCGCACCTATAATCCCAGCTACTCGGGAGGCTGAGGCAGGAGAATCACTTGAATCCAGGAGGCAGAGGTTGCAGTGAGCCGAGATTGTGCCACTGCATTCCAGCCTGGGCAATAGAGTGAGACTCCATTAAAAAAAAAAAAAAAAAAAAAATATATATATATATATATATATATATACACACACACACACACACACACATATATGTATATATATATACACATATATATGTATATAGATACATATATATGTATATATACATATATATATATACTACAAAGCTGTAGTAACCAAAACAGCATGTATTGATATAAAAGCAGACACATAGACCAATGGAACAGAGTAGAGAACTCAGAAATAAATTCACATATTTACAGCCAACTGATTTTCAACAAAGGAACCAAGAACATACAATGGGGAAGGGACAGTCTCTTTAATAAATGGTGCTAGGAAAACTGGGTAACCAACCATACGCAGAAAAATGGTATTGGTAGATTTTGTCTGTGTGCTTATTTGAGTTTGATTGTACTGCGTGGGAACTGGACAGCTACCTCCCTAATTAGCATTAATATTTTCCCAGAGATTATTTGGCTGTCAAAGTATAGTAAGAAAAAGACCTAAAATAGGGTCCAGAAGTCTGATAGAGAAATACAGGTGAGGCTGGTGTGGTGATTCACACCTATAATTCCAGCACTTTGGGAGGCTGAGGCAGGCAGATTGCTTGAACCCAGGAGTTTGAGACCAGCCTGGGCAACATAGTGAGATCCTGTCTCAAAAAAATTAAAATAAAATAGAAATACAGGTGAGAGGGAGAAGCAGCAGGACAAAATGTGTAAAATAGAAGAGACCTTTTGATAGAGGTGATAGGAAAGGAAAGACAAACCTATGGGCTGGGAGCATCAAGAAGACATTAAAGGGATTGGGGTGACAGGAGAGGCCCAGAGAGACACTGCATCCTGCCCTGGTAACCCGGGCAGGCCCTGCAGGATCAGGTGGCATGCTTGTACCCTGCTTCTCCTGCTGTACACCCCCGTGAAGAACTTTCTTGATGCTCTCTGTTAGTAACCGGGCACATCCCCTCCGGGAGCTTGCCATGACTCATTGCCGCAGCCCCACTGCTCGGCTCTGCCTGTTTCATGACAGCTTCAGATGTCTTGGGTGAGAAGAGTCCTCCAGGAGACTTGGGCGGATCACTTCCCTCCAGAGGCCCTGTATGTGGCTGTGGATGGGGGCTCCTGAGTCTTTCAGCCTCTTCTCCTCAGGGCCAGCCCTGCCCTGGCTCTCGGGACCCACCCTCTCTGGGCTGCTCACAACCTTTAACCTTTAGAGGACTCTTCTTTCTCCTGTATGATTCTCTCCCTTTCTACTGTTCTAGGAACTTCCATGTCAGGAAATATGCCCAAATGGGCCTCTGGCCCACACTCCAGCTACTGCTCCATTCATTTGCTCTTTTATGCCACCTTTGTCAGCAGAGCTGTCAGGACACACTGTCTGTTTTGTTGCCTGTCCTCTGAAGCCGCCTTGGACTTACATGTTTTGAGGGGCATGTTAGAGGACTTGGCCAGAAATGTGCTACCAGTCTCTGGGCACTTGCTTCATAGCGGGGGGTTGGGATGTGCCTCTGACTTCTTGTCTTATTCCTCTGGAGTAAAGCTCACAACTCTTCCCAAACTTTTGGAAGCAGTCATCAGCAGCCACAATTTGTTAATTCCATTTGTTTCCCAAATCTCACCCTCTCCAGGAAGCCAGCCTGCACCCCACCGGCCCCTGCTCCCATCCCCCTTCACTCTGCTCTCTTTTCCCGTGGTGCGTATCACTCACGTAGTATGATGTATTTGCTACATTGATTATTGTCTGCTTCCCCCTGCTAGAATGTCAGCTCTACAGAAGTAGGGATTTGTCTCTCTCTCTCTTTTTTTTTTTTTTTTTTTAACTGTTCTGAGGCTTCTAGATGAGTGCCTGGTACCTAGGAAGCACTTAATAAATATTTGTGGAATGAGTGAAAGGAAGGCAAAAATCAATTAATACAGGGTATTAAGGAGGCTTTTGACTCACAAAAGGGAATCTGAGCATGTCAGAATAGCCCTCTTCCCACTCACCCTGCCCTACCACCTGTCTGTCACAGAGATAGCACCACCATTCTCCCCCCTGTACAAACCATGCTCTGTTCTTGTTTATCCTTGACCAGTATGTCCAGTTGAATCTGTCTCTAAAATACCTGGAATGTATTGCTTCTCTCTTTTTCTCCCTACTGCCACCACCTTAGTTCAGGCCATCTTTAGCTCTCCCCTGGTCCACGGCAAAAGCCTCCGGACCAACCTCCCCATGTTCCTCTTGCCTCCTTAGTCCCTTCTCTGTGGGGCAGCCAAGTGAGTGGTCACTTAGGGTTTTGGCTCACTGCTGTACAGTGACGCAAACAGAATAGAAGTTTATTTCTGCCTCAGTTAACAGTTCAGAGGTGCAGGGTCTAGAGCTATCACAGTAGCTGTACATAAGCTTATCCAAGGGACTGGGTTACTTCCATGTGGTTCTTCCACCAGCTTCTAGGGATGTTGTCCTCTGCTGCGTGGTCAAAGTTGGGCTCACCACCACCATGTCCAAAATTCAGTTGGGGTAAAAAGGAAGTAGAAAGCAATTTTCTTTTTTTAAAGGACAATGCCCAGAATTATGGTCATTGCTTTCTATCACATTCCATTGGCTGGAACTTAGTCTCATGACCAGACCTTGTCGTAGGGGATCTGGAAAATGTAGTCTTCCCAGGTGGCCGCCTGACCAGCAATAACTCCGGGGGTTCTATTATTAAAAGGAGGAAGGGGAGAGTGGACTCTGGAGGTTACACAGCAGTCTCAGCCACATGTAGAGCGGATCACACATATCATGCCCCTACTTGAAACCCTTGGTGGGTTTCCACTGTACGTGGAGCAAAAGTGAAACTCCTTACCATGCATATCCAGCCCTGCGCAGTCTGGCCTCTGCCGTTCTCACCAAGCCCTTTCCTGTTTTACCTTACCTCTCTTCATCCGGCCAGTACTTCTTATCCGTCAATTCTCTGCGCAGGTATCTCCCAGAGAGGTTGCCCATGTCATCTCCCAGCCATTGTGGCTTCTGTCATTGTGCCGATTTTGTTTGTTTTCTTGTTGTTTTATGCAGTGACCCCACTGGAATGTCAGCTCCATAAAAAAGGGACCACATTTGTTTTGTTCACTGATATGTCCCATCTCTGCTACAGTGTTGGGTGCAGATGCATTGAAGTCTTATTTGATTCATATTGATACTTGTGCTTTTTTCTTTCCCTTCTAGGACACGAGAGACTTCCTAAACAGGTAAAAGAGTCTCCTCTCCATGGCGTACCTCATCCCCCTTGTTTATGTTCCCCCGCTTCTGACCAGGTGCATTTGAATTCATGGGGAGTGGTATGGTGCCAGAGGTACTCACATCCCATGGTTCATCCTGATGCCCTTCTGAGGAGCAGGACACATCATTGAGAACTGGAGACTTGCTCTCCTCCTTATGGTTCTCTGTGTAGCCCCAGCTCCTTGGCCCACTGGCCTTATTTGAGGTGGGACAGAGCAGAGAGGTTAGAAACATGGCTTAGTAGACAGAGCGCCCTGGATGTGGAGTCTACTGATGTTCTGAAGCCCTGGTTCAGCTGGTGTCTTTGGGCCACTGTTTTTCTGTCACTTGTTTGGGGATAATCATACCTTTCCTCTCCCCTTCATAATTGCCATGAGGATTGAGAGATAAGTATGAAGGAAAGTAAGAAGAGCTGAGTAACAGCTTGTTATGTATGTCATCTTCTTAGGTATCCACGGAAGAAGTTCTGGGTTGGGAAACCCATTGCTCGAGTGGTTAAAAAAAAGACCGGAGAATTCTCAGATAAACTCCTCTCTCTGCAACGAGGCCTGAGGGAATTCCAGGGTAAGGGTTGGGGAGCGCACAAAGGGTGGGAGTCAGAGCAGGGCTACCTCGTAGAAAGAGCGCACCCAGCTCCTTTCCATCACCTTGTCGATCCTCACTCTTCTGAGGGCCTCTTGTCTTAGACATGGATCCCTATCAGGAAATTGATACTGCCCGAGCAAGAAATGGGCTCATAAATTTTCGGGACTTGAGTCATTGCTGTCCTTTTTTCTCCCCAGGGAAGCTGCTGAGAGACTTGGAATATAAGACAGGTGAGTGTCTAGAGGGTGTTTCCCAGATGTACATCAAATATAGAAAACTCCGCCTGCAGAGATTCTGACTGCTCACTTTTCCCCCAGGTAGCCCCTTTTGCAACAGGAAGAATTTCCCAGCTGCACAATAGAAGCCCCCCTCCCTCTTTGCACTTTCTAATCAGCCTACTCTTTAGTCTGCAGTAGAGGCCTCTGCTTGCTAGTCTGATCCTTCTCTGCCCTGTGTTTGCTTTTCTTTTTCCTATCCTCACAGGTCCTACCACCAGTCCTTTTCCTGTGGCCGAGCTTTCTCTCATCTTCCTGGCTGCATGGCTCCTATATTCAGAGCAAACAGCAGGGGCAACCTAAGACCAGAGGCCATATCCACCACAGGCCCCACTATTGTGCCCCCTCTCAGCCCTGCAGTTAGGTTGTACACTGCATACCAACCACCAAGGAGCGCCATCCACATAGACCAAGATGTGAATGGTGCCCCTTGGATTGTGAAGACTGGTGGTCTCCTCCTGGCTCACTTTCACACTTGCTTTCGTGAGAACCATTGAGGAGGTCGGCCTGTCTGGGAGCAAACGAGGCCCTGAGAGCTTCATCTAGTTCACAGGATAAAATCCCATAGCAGAACTGAGTTAGCAGTGGTTAAACCTTAGGTGGTTGTAGCTTCTTTATTAATGTCTGAGCTGTCTGTGAATACCGTCAAATTTTACCTATCAGGTTATTCTAATTATAGAGAATCCTATGAGGATGATGGTGAGGATTATCCCACTCTGTCAGTACCTGTTCAGGGTTTCTTGAACCATCTTACAGAGCAGGCTGGTAGTTTTGAAACTGAAATTGAACAGTTTACAGAGACCCTGAATGCTTGTGTTACAACAGATGATGCTTTGCAAGAACTTGTGGAACTCAGAGGCCACATCTGTCCCAAATTTCTTTTTTTTTTTTTTTTTTTTTTTTTTTTTTTTGAGACGGAGTCTCGCTGTCGCCCAGGCTGGAGTGCAGTGGCGCAATCTCGGCTCACTGCAGGCTCCGCCTCCTGGGGTTCACGCCATTCTCCTGCCTCAGCCTCCCGAGTAGCTAGGACTACAGGCGCCCGCCACCTCGCCCGGCTAATTTTTTGTATTTTTAGTAGAGACGGGGTTTCACCGTGTTAGCCAGGATGGTCTCGATCTCCTGACCTCGTGATCCACCCGCCTCGGCCTCCCAAAGTGCTGGGATTACAGGCGTGAGCCACCGCGCCCGGCCTTTTTTTTTTTTTTTTTTTTGAGATGGAGTCTTGCTTTGTCTTCCAGGCTGGAGTGTAGTGGTGTGATCTCAGCTCACTGCGAGCCCCGCCTCCCAGGTTCACGCCATTCTCCTGCCTCAGCCTCCTAAGTAGCTGGGACTACAGGTGCCCACCACCATGCCCGGCTAATTTTTGTATTTTTAGTAGAGATGGGGTTTCACCATGTTAGCCAGGATGGTCTCGATCTCCTGACCTTGTGATCCACCCGCCTCGGCCTTCCAAAGTGCTGGGATTATAGGCGTGAGCCACCGTGCCCAGCCCCAAATTTCTCTTACATGGGAGCTCACCTGTGTAATTACCTGACATCATCTGACAGTTAGCACAGAGAGTAGCACCTTCCGCCAATTTCTACTTCAAAGATGTCGGACTGAATATGACATTAAAGATCAAGCTGCAAAAGGGGATGAAGTTACTCCAAAACAATTTCATGCATTTGTACCCTTTCTGGGAGAGCTTTATCATAACCTGGAGATCAGAGGAACAAATGGACAGGTTACAAGGGCAGATATTCTTCAGGTTGGTCTTCAGGAGTTGCCGAATGCCTGAATGCCCTCTTTTCTAATCCCGTGGATGACAGCTTAATTTGTGCAATAAAATTGCTGAAGTTGACAGGGTCAGTTTTGGAAGATGCTTGGAAGGAAAAGGAAGGACTGATATGGAAGAAATTATTCAGGAAATTGAAAATGTTGTTATAGATGCAAGCTGTGGCAGAGACATGAAACAGATGCTCTTGAAGCTTGTAGAACTCCAGTGCAGTAATTGGGGTAGAGTCCATGCAACTTCATCATACAGAAATACAACAGCCAAAAAAGATCCCAATTACTATGTGAATGAACCAACATTTTATAGTGGTCATTCACATAGTTATTGTGTTTCATAGTGTTCCTTTCACTGCAGCTGATCCGGATTACCAAGAAGCATATCAAGAGTTACTTGAAAAAGAGGACTTTTTTTCTGGATTATGAAGAAAATGGAACAGATTTTTCAGGGACTGGTGATCCACACTTGGATGATATTAATGATGAGTTGGACCCAGAGATCCAGAGATAGAGGAAGCTTATGAAAAGTTTTGTTTGGAATCAGAGCGTAAGCGAAAACAGTCAAGTTAAATTTCAGTATATCATGTTTATAAAGCAGTTTAGTTATGGTGATTTAGCAGAATACAAAGCCAGAAAATGTGTCACACTTATACCAAATTAAGGATGTTGAGTTATATTACTAATGTATGCAACTTTAATTTTGTTTAACGCTATCTGCCAAAATAAATTTTATTCCCTCTGACTTAAAAAACAAAACAAAACAGTGATGCTGTTTTTTTTTTTTTCCCTTGTCCCCACAGTGAGCGTCACCCTGGACCCACAGTCGGCCAGTGGGTACCTGCAGCTGTCAGAGGACTGGAAGTGCGTGACCTACACCAGCCTGTACAAGAGTGCCTACCTGCACCCCCAGCAGTTTGACTGTGAGCCTGGGGTGCTAGGCAGCAAGGGCTTCACCTGGGGCAAGGTCTACTGGGAAGTGGAAGTGGAGAGGGAGGGCTGGTCTGAGGATGAAGAAGAGGGGGATGAGGAGGAAGAGGGAGAAGAGGAGGAGGAGGAAGAGGAGGCCGGCTATGGGGATGGATATGACGACTGGGAAACGGACGAAGATGAGGAATCGTTGGGCGATGAAGAGGAAGAAGAGGAGGAGGAAGAGGAGGAAGTTCTGGAAAGCTGCATGGTGGGGGTGGCTAGAGACTCTGTGAAGAGGAAGGGAGACCTCTCCCTGCGGCCAGAGGATGGCGTGTGGGCGCTGCGCCTCTCCTCCTCCGGCATCTGGGCCAACACCAGCCCCGAGGCTGAGCTTTTCCCAGCACTGCGGCCCCGGAGAGTGGGCATCGCCCTGGATTATGAAGGGGGCACCGTGACTTTCACCAACGCAGAGTCACAGGAACTCATCTACACCTTCACTGCCACCTTCACCCGGCGCCTGGTCCCCTTCCTGTGGCTCAAGTGGCCAGGAACACGCCTCCTGCTAAGACCCTGAGCCCTGACATCTGCCCCCAGCCCCAACCCTCAGATGCTTCACTTCTTTGGAATTCCAGGACTCTCAATGGGGGGACGGGATGCCTGGCCTAAGCACCTGGAGCAGGGGACCCCATATCCACTGGTAGCCACCTCCCCATTGCTGTGGCCCCCTGAAATCTCACTCAGTGCTGTTGCTCCATCTACTGCCCTAATGGGGCTCTTTTCCCACCTCCTGCTGGTTTCCCGAGGGAACTTCTGACCCTGGAGTCCATGAGGGCTCCTTTCCTTTTTGACCACGACCTTGGCCCCAGCTCTGCACTCTCTGGAATAAGGGCCCGATGCAGCATTTTCTTGCCCAGTGTGGCAAGACCTCAGAAAAACCAGTCAATTACGCCTAAGATCATTTTGCTGTCCTTAAACCCCCCAGGTTCCTTCTTGCACAAATCCACTCTGCTGCCCACCTTCCCTGGCATTTTAAACAGACCTACCCCACCCCAACTCAGAGTTAAGCATACATGGCAATGCTGAAAATAAACAAAATCCACTGAGGCTTCCCAGGCCATTTAAAGCCTGGAGTACCAGCGCATATCATCTCATGGGGTCCAGAGTGGAGTCCAGGCTTCTCTGAAACCAGGGCTGAGCATATTTCCATAGCCAAGGAGGTGGGACTCCCTGGAGCTATCTGTGGTCTTAGGGAAGGATCCAGACATACACGGCTTTGGGGTACAAGCTGTGATCACTGATCAATAAATTATCTCTAGATTGGTCCTTGTGAGGGGAGTTTTAAGAATCCAGAACATCTTGCTCTTGATCAGCACATCCAAAAACACCAAGACAAACATCCAGTGGAGCAGAACCTCTCCTGCCTCGGGAGTTCTGACCGGGTTCCCCAGCAGGGTGTTAAGCCTCTGTCTCTGGCCCTACCAGCATCCAGGTTCCACTTTCCTAGGAGAGAGTGGAGATGGGAAGACAGGGAAAGGAAGGCAGCAGGAGGCCACAAGCCCACCAGGTCTTCATGTCAAGAGAGGGAGTAACATGTCTTCTCATTGCCCACGGACCCAACCTCTGTCCAGGTGCCCCTCATCATCACAGTTTAACACAAGCTCCCCTGCTCCAGCCAAATTGATCTCCCAGTCTTGTCCTTACCCATTCCAAGTGCTCTGCCAGCCCCTGTTCATCCAAGTTTTAAGTCCTCCACCCTGTTCTAAGAGACTGTTCCAACGGCTCTGGGCCTCAGTGGTCACTTGACCACCATTGTCTCAGAGCTGCCCACTTTGTGTGTGTCACATGCTGCCTGAGTCACATGTACATCTTATTTCTGCCTCTAGTTTTGTAAGCTCCTGGAGGGCGGATAACATCTTATACTACTCTTGTATTCTCATGGCACCTAGTGCAGTGCTGGGCACAGAGTAGGTGCTCAATAAAGACTTGTTGAATGAACAGCCTGGAGATCTGTATTTGTAGGTCTATATCTATATTATATCTCAAATGCCACCAGACCTCAGTCTGGCTACAGAGAAATTCCACTGATAGCAGTAGCCGAAGGTTTTCCTTCTGTGCCTTCTGTAACAGTGTAACTTTGCTTTCTGTTCTCTGCACACATGCTGTCATTTCTGGAAGTCCCTCAAAAAGAGCCTACTGCGGAACACAGACGAGTTGTTGCGTGGCTCCACCTTTTTATTCCTCCTGCAGTGGTGCCCTTGAGCTGAGGTCCAGCGTTTTGGAGCAAGTGATGACTCTCCCTGAGAAGGGAGACCTCCAGTATAGCACACCCAAAAATTCTTCCTTGGAAAATAAGCACTGCCTCAGAGGAAATAGAATGTGCAGAGATTCAGCCTTGCATCCTAACACAGTCAACTGTTTTTCTTGTCCTTTCTGATTTTTTTTTTTTTTTTTTTTTTTTTTTTTTTTTTTTTGAGATGGAGTCTCACTCTGTCTCCCAGTTTGGAGTGCAGTGGCGCCATCTCGGCTCACTGCAAGCTCTGCCTCCCGGGTTCACGCCATTCTCCTGCCTCAGCCTCCCGAGTAGCTGGAACTACAGGCGCCCGCCATCACGCCCGGCTAATTTTTTTGTATTTTTAGTAGAGACGGGGTTTCACCATGTTAGCCAGGTTGGTCTTGATCTCCTGACCTCATGATCCACCCACCTCGGCCTCCCAAAGTGCTGGGATTACAGGCGTGAGCCATCGCGCCCAGCAGTCCTTTCTGATTTTTTAAATTGCCATCTTAAAGATGGAAAAGGGAGGATTATACGAAACTACCTGTAAAATTACGCTAGTGGCAAAGAGCATATTTCCTCTCTGTTCTCTAAGTTGTGGGCTCATGTAAATTTTCCCTTTTTATTTTTTATATTCATAGTTTTTCATTTTGTATAACTCTACTTGCACATATGGTAAACTTTCTACAGTGCTTCTTACAAATAGGAACATTTCCCTGCCCCATACCTCCCTCCAAAGACCCAGTTCATACCTTTCAGCAAACTATTTTGTGTTTGCCTTGCTGGGATTACAGGTGTGAGCCACCACAACTGGCTGAATTTTTATTATTTTAGAGACATGGTCTTACTCTGTCACCTAGGCTCTAGTGATGGTGCACTCGTAGCTTACTGTGGCCTTGAGCTCTGGGGCTCAAGTGATCCTCCCACCTCAGCCTCCCAAAGTACTGGAATTACAGGCGTGAGCCACTGTGCCCTGCCTGAATTATTTCTTGTTGACTTTTCCTCCTATTTTCTGTATTCTCTCAAATCTGTTATCTCCAGGCTTCATATGTCTCCTGAATTCATTTATTAAGTACCCGTGATGTGCCAGGATGTTTCTAGGTTACAACAGTGATAAGGTTAACAAAGTTCTGCACTCTTGGAGGTTATATTCCAGCAAATGGTGACAGGCAGTATGTTAAAATTGAAAAAAAAAAAAGTAATTAGCACTATGCAAGGAAGTGAAATAAGTCTGTGATAGATAGTGACCTAGTATCTATTTTATAATGTGTGATCAGAAGGGAGTTCCCTGAAAAGATGGCATGAGAGCTGAAATCAGAATGGTGAGAGGGAAGGTCTAAGATCACATCAGCTAGAGGGAACAGCAAAGTCCTAAAGCAGGGACAAACTGGGTACAGAAAGAGTGCATTTAGAGTATGGTTATGGGAGAACAGAAAGAGCCATAGATTTTCTCTTTTTTTTTTAATAGAGACGGAGTCTCGCTCTGTTGCCCAGGCTGGAGTGCGGTGGCATGATCTTGGCTTACTGGCAACCTCCGCTGCCCAGGTTCAAGCGATTCTCTTGCCTCAGCCTCCCAAGTACCTGGGACTACAGGCGCACACCACCATGTCTGGCTAATTTTTTTGTGTTTTTAGAAGAGACGGGGTTTTGCCATATTGACCAGGCTGTTCATGAACTCCTGACCTCAGGTGATCCACCTATTTTGGCCTCTCAAAGTGCTGGGATTACAGGCATGAGCTTTAAAAAGAAACTTTTTAAAAACTGATGCATCCCAAGTACCCAGAATAATGCCTATCACATAAGTCTTGACCTGAGGCCGGACTGATGTGGCGCTGCTGTTGCTGCTGCTACTGCTGCCACCTGGCAAAAAAGAGATGGGAGACTGAGCACTCCCATGCACCCCCCTGGACAAATCCCATCGCCACTGCTACAGGCTGCTGTGAGACCAGGGCTTGAGAAGACTGCACTCCCTGTGGCTACTTGTCCTTGCTCTTCCACCTGAGAGGGGTCCTGCCCTCCCGGTGGCAAACCTGTAGTCATTATTCTGAGAGCTCAACCACCCGGGTCTGCATTCTGCCCCTGGGCCTGGCTGGGGCTGCTGCCGCCAAGCCAAGGCTAAGTTGAGGAGGGAGAGTAGAGACGGGGCACTTCCGCACGTTCCTAGGACAAATCCCACCACTGCTGCTATGGGCTGGTGTGGACAAAGGTGTGAGCAGATGACACTTCCCACAGCTACTTGCTCATGATGCGCCAGCTGAGAGTGGCCCTGCCTTCCCTGGTTGCAGGACTACAGTGCAGCCACCACAGCCAGCCCACACCTGAGCATTCTGCCAGTGGTCTGGGGACCTCTCCATCTCTTGTCTATCACAGCTAGCACCTGAATGCATTGCAGGGGGCCCTGAGGACAGGTCTGCTGGCCTGATCCCATCCCCCCAGTACACAAGCACATCATCCAGGGGCCCGGAAATTGCCCAGCCCAATCTACCACCACTGGCATCTGAATCATTCCTGTCAGGATCTGAGGTCAGTCCAACTCAATCTACCAATACCACCACAACTGACACCCACCCACACATGCTACCAGTGGGTCAGGGTACTAGCCTGCCCAACTTGTCACAGCCACCACCAACACCAGCACAGACTGCTTGGGTCCTAGCAGGTTGTTCCACCACTGCTACTGCCATTACCCATTTCACACCAGCTGCCCAGGAGCCTGAGAAGTTGCCCACATGTCTGGCCCACTGCTGCCACTGCTAGCATCTGAGCAAGTCACCTGAAGGCCCAATAATTGGCCCTCCAAGACCCACTAACGCTGTTGTCAGTTTAAGCCACTCTGTGGGCCCTAGCACAGGCTCATTCAACCCACCGCTGCCATCACTAGGGCCTGAAGACTGGCCCACCTAGCATCTTAGTTCCCAGCCAAACTTCACCACAGCCTTCACTAATAAGTGCACCTTAAGTCAATGAGGAAGTCACAGATACCACTGATGTTGTATACTGCCAAATAAATCATACAGGGATCACACTACTATAGGCACTCAAAATCAAAGCCAAAGCACCCTACTCAACAAACAACACGTAAAATCTTCAGGAAAAAAATCCTCCCCTATGAAAGCAATTTCAAAAATGGAAGAAGTGACTGTTGCAACTAAATGTGCAGATATCAATGTAAGGACACAGAAAACTAAAGAACAAAGAAATATGACACCAACAAAGGAACACAATACCTCTCCAGCTACAGTTATCAATCAGAAAGAAATTCATGAAATTCTAGATAAAGAATTCAAAGTACTGATTTTAAAGAAACTCAGTAGGCTGGGCACGGTGGCTCATGCCTGTAATCCCAGCACTTTGGAAGGCCGAGGTGGGTGGATCACGACGTCAGGAGATTGAGACCATCCTGGCTAACACGGTGAAACCCCGTCTCTACTAAAAATAGAAAAAATTAGCTGGGTGTGGTGGTGGGTGCCTGTAGTCCCAGCTACTCGGGAGGCTGAGGCAGGAGAATGGCGTGAACCCGGGAGGCGGAGCTTGCAGTGAGCTGAGATCGTGCCACTGCACTGCAGCCTGGGTGACAGAGTGAGACTCCATCTCAAAAAAAAAAAAAAAAAAAAAGAAACTCAGTGATATATAAGAGAATTCTGAAAAACAATAGAAAGAAAAAAGATAATAATGTAGGATATGAATGAGAAATTTAATAAAGCAATAGATTGTTTTTTAAAAGAAAAATAGAAAATCTGGATATGAAGAATTTATTAAAGGAAATACAAAATACCTTTGAAAGCTTCAACAATAGAACTAGATTGGGGAGAAGAAAGAGTCTCAGAGCTTGAAGGCAGCTCTTTTGAAATAACCTAGTCAGACAAAAATAAAGAAAAAATAATTTTAAAAAATTCAATTTACTTTGCCTAGATAAAAAAATTAGCAAAGCCTTCATGATATTTGGGACAGCATAAAGCAACTGAATATATGAATTGTTAGTATCCCCGAGGATGATGAAGAAATGAAAGGATTAGAAAATCTATATAATGAAATAATAGATGAAAACTTTCCAAGCCTAGCAAGGGATTTGGACATGCAGGTATAGGAGGCTCAATGTTTCCCAGGCAGATGCAATGCAAAGGGTCTTCTCCATAGCACATTATAATTAGACTGTCTAAAGTCAAAATAAAGAGCAAATTCTAAAAATAGCAACAGAATAGTGCCTAGTCACCTAAAAGGAAAACTCATCAGACTAACAAACAGTGGATTTCTCTGCAGAAACCCTACAGGCCAAAAGATAATGGGATGGTATATACAAAATGATGAAAGAAAATAACTGTCAGCCAAGAATATTAGATCCAGCCAAATTAAAGTATAAAGGAAAAAGAAATAAAGTCTTTCCCAGACAGGCAAATACTGAGGGAATTTGTTACCACTAGATCAGTCCTACGAGAAATGCTCAAGGGAGTCCTAAACCTGGAAGTGATAGGATGATATTTACCATCATAAAAACACACAAAAGTATAAAACTCGCTAGTAAAGCAATCACACAAAGGAAGAAGAGAAAGGACTCAAATGGTGCCTCTACAGAAATCCACCAAACCACAATGACAAACAAGAAGAAAGGAACAAAGAATATATAAAACAATCAGAAAACAACAATATGACAGGAACAAAGTCTCATATATCAATAATAATCTTGAATGTAAATGGAATAAATTCTTTACTTGAAAGATGTAGAATGGCTGGATTTATTTAAAAAGATAATACACCTGTAAGCTGTTTCAAGAAACTCAGTAAAGTTTCTTACCAGTAAAGACAAATATAGACAAAGTAAAGGGATGGAAAAAGATATTCCATACAAATGGAGACAAAAAGTGAGAAGGAGTAGCTATACTTATATCAGATACAACAGACTTTAAGTCAAGAATTGTGAAAAAAAAAAGCCAAAAATGTCATTATATAATGATAAAGGGATCAATCCAGCAAGAAGATTCAACAGTTCTAAATATATATACACCAAACACCAGAGCACCCACATTCATAAAGCAAATATTACTAGCTCTAAAGAGAGAGACAGATTGGAATACAATAATAGTGGGGGACTTTAGCACCTCATGCTCAGCATTAGACAGATTATCTAGACAGAAAATCAACAGAGAAACATTGGATTTAAACTGGACTTTAGACCAAATGAACCTAACATTTACGGAACATTCTATTCAACAACTGCAGAATATATATTCTTTTCATCAGAACATGGAACCTTCTCCAACATAGACCATATATTAGGTGACAAAACAAGTCTCAATAAATTTTTAAAAATTAAAATCATATCAAATATTTTCTCAGACTGCAATAGAATAAAATGAGAAATCAATACCAAGAGGAACTTTGGAAACTATACAAATACATAGATATTAAACCACATGGTCCTGAATGACCATTGGGTCAATGAACAAATTAAGATAGAAGGCCAGGCATGGTGGCTCACACCTGTAATCCCAGCACTTTGGGTGGCTGAGGCGGATGGATCACCTGAGGTCAGAAGTTCGAGACCAGCCTGGCCAGCATGGTGAAACCCTGTCTCTGTGAAAAATACAAAAAAATTAGCTGGGCGTGGTGGCAGGCGCCTGTAATCTCAGCTACTTGGGAGGCTGAGGCAGGAGAACCGCTTGAACCCGGGAGGTGGAGGTTGCAGTTAGCCGAGTTTACACCATTGAACTCCAGCCTGGGAGACAAGAGCAAAACTCCATCTGGAAAAAAAAAAAAAAAAAGAAATTAAGATGAAAATTAAAAAAAAAATCTAAAAACAAATGAAAATGGAAACATAAAACCTGTGGGATTCAGCAAAGGCAGTGCTAAGAGGAAAGTTTACAGCAATAAATGCTTACATTAAAAAAGTAGAAAGATTACAAATTAACAATCCAACAATGTACCTGAAGGAGCTAGAAAAGCAAGAACAAACCAAACCCCAAATTAGCAGAAGAAAAGAAATAATAAAGATCAGAGCAGAAAGTAGAGACTTAAAGAAATACAAAGGATCAATGAGATGAAAAATTGGTTCTTTGAAAAGATATACAGAATTGATAAGCTACTAGCTAGACTAACCAAGAAGACAGAAGACCCATATGAACAAAATCAGAATTGAAAAAGGAGACATTACAACTGACATCACAGAAATATTAAAGATCATCAGAGACGGTTATAAACAACTAGATAAAATTGGAAAATCTAGAGGAAGTGGATAAATTCCTGGAAACACACAACCTACCAAGACTGAATCAGAAAAAAATAGAAAACCTGAGCAGACCAATAATTAATAGCAAGATTGAATCAGTAATTAAAAGTCTCTCAAAGAAGAAAAGCCTAGGACTGGAGGGATTAACAGCTGAATTCTACTAAACATACAAAGAACTAATACCGATCCTCCTGAAACTGTTCAAACAAGTCAAAGAGGAAGGAATTTTCCCTAACTAATTATATGAGGTCAGCATCACCCTAATACTAAAACCAGACAGATACACCACAACACCAACAAAAAGAAAATTATAGGTCAATATCCCTAATGAACATAGATACAAAATCATAGATAGATACAAAAATCCTCAACAAAATACTAGCAAACCAAACCCAACAGCACATCGAAAAATACTACATCAAAATCAAGTGGGATTTATAGTAGAGATGCAAAGATGTTTCAATATGAATAAATAAGCATGATACATATTATCAATAGAATGTAGAACAAAAACCATATGATCATCTTAATAGATGCAGAAAAAGCATTTGATAAAATTTAACATTCTTTTAAGATAAAAACATACAACACACTAGGCATAGACGGAACAAACCTCAAACTCAAATGAGCTGTATGTAACAAACCCATAGCTAACATGCTGAATGAGGAAAAGTGGAAAGCTTTTCCTCTAAGCACTGGAACAAGGCAAGGATGTCTACTCTCAATACTCTTATTCAACATAGTACTAAAATCCTAGCTATAAGGATCAGGCAAAAGAAAGAAACACAATGTGTGATTTCACCAAAAAACTCTTAGATATGATAAATGAGTTCAGTACAGTTTCAGGCTACAAAATTAATATGCAAAAGTCAGTAGCATTTCTTTACATCAGTAATGATTTAGCCAACAAAGAAATCAAGAAGGCAATCTCATTTAGAAATTTTTGCTACCAAAAACAATTTAGGATTGAATTTAACCAAGGAGGCAAAAGATCTTTACAAGGAAAACTACAAAATACTGTTGAGAGAAATTCAAAACAACACAAATGGAAAAACACCTTATGCTCATGGATTAGAAGGAATATCAACATCATTAAAATGACCATATTGTTCAAAGTAATCTGCAGATTAAATGCAATCCCTAACAAAATATCAACATCATTCTTCACAGAATTTGAAAAAAAAATCCTAAAATTCATATGGACCAACCCCCCCCTCCCAAAAAAAGCCCAAATAGCCAAAGAAATCCTGAGCACAAAGAACAAATACTCTTGGATTAAAGGGAGTTTAGTAATTAATAGATTAGTAATACTTGCTACTAGAGACATTTTTGTCAGGTTTGTCAAATATCAGATGGTTATAGGTGAAAATCAAATCAAAACTACAATGAGATACTATCTCGCACCAGTCAAAATGGCTATTACTAAAAAGTCAAAAAGCAACAGATGCTGGCAAGGTTGTGAAGAAAAACGAATGCTTTTAACACTGTTGGTGTGAGTGTAAATTAGTTCAACCATTGTGGAAGACTGTGTGGCAATTCCTCAAAAACCTAGAGGCAGAAATACCATTCAACCCAGCAATCTCATTTACTGGGTATATACCCAAAGGAATAGAAATCGTTCTCTATAAAGATACATGCATGTGTATGTTCATTGCAGTAGTATTCACAATAGCAAAGATATGAAATCAAACTAAATGCCCATCAATGATAGACTGGATAAAGAAAATGTGGTACACATATACCATGGAATATTTTACAGCCATAAAAAGGAATGAGATCATGTCCTTTGCAGGGACATGAATGGAACTGGAGGTTGTTATCCTTAGCAAACTAAAGTAGGAACAGAAAACCAAATACAGCATGTTTTCACTTATAAGTAGGATCTAAATAATGAGAACATATGGACACATGGCAGGAGGCGGGGGGAACAACACACACTGGGCCCTGTTGGAGGGCGGGGGTGGGAGGAGGGAGAGGATCAGGAAGAATAGCTAATGGGTGCTGGGCTTAATTCCTGGGTGATAGGATGATCTGTGTAGCTGACTACTATGGCACACATTTACCTATGTAACAAACCTGCACATCTTGCACATGTACCCCTGAACTTAAAAGTTGAAAAATTTTTTAAAAAAGAAAAACATTAGGGAGTAGCTGCCTTTGGGAGTGAGGAGAATGGGAATAAAAATTGGGGAGAGAGGAGAAAATACAAATAAAACCAGAAGACCTTGCATGGACTGATGATGATAGTGTTCCAAGAACTGAGAGGTATGACTGAGTCAACACTCTACACTGGAAGTCTGAAAGAAGGAAAGAACTGAAAATGAAAAAGAAAATAAAGGCCATGAGTAGAGCTAGGAAGCTTCCTTATAGACAGGAGAATGGGCCCCACATCCAGAGCAAAGTAAGCCGACCAGAGAGACAATGCATCTGCCTAGGCTCTAGTTCCCATTACAACCAGCTCACTGTCATCACGGTTCCTGGGCTCCAGAGAGATTCCCTTATAGGTCCCACCTTGGTCCTTACAATAACCCCTCTGGTTCTCCGAGGCACATCAGTGTGACTGCTCCTCACATAGTCCAGCAGCCCAGCAATTATTTTGTGGGATCTCTTTGCCTCCTGCCCAGTAGTGGACAGAACTCAGCACTTGGAATTCAGGAACACCTACAAAAAGCATTAGGGGCAAGGCAGGTTGTGCAGAGGATCTTGTAGGGGAGATAGAGGACAGTTTTACATCACAAACACAGGAACACAGCCATCCTGTGGCTCCAGCTGGACCACCAAATGAATAATTTTCCTCTGCTTTTCCTTCAGGCAGCTCTCAGTCCTCACCCTGAGGTCTTAGCCACTCCCAAATTTCTTTTGGCTTCTAAATTTCTCTTTCCTTTCTTATGCAGAACAATTTATTAATATAGGCACAAAGCCTCCAAATGTGCATATCCACACTTTTAAATTATCTGGACCACTCTAAAATTAGAAGTACCAGAGACTTGGAAATACAGTGTGCTTATGGTTCATCGGTTCTTTTTTTTTTTTTTCTGTTTCATATGAAACCAAAAATGCCCTGTCTAAAACATGAATTCAATGGGTAGCAAATGAAACATAGCCCCATTGGGATGTGTCTGTTTTAGAAGTCTGAGTGTGGTGGAAATGTGACTGCACTGAGCTCCAGGACAGGTAGATTCTACTTCAGCAGGTCACAAGGACCAGCTGTGAAAATTGTTAGACAAGTTCATTTAACTGTGTGCCAGTTTTCTCAACCACCACATGAGAAAAACAAAATAGGTCTTATGTATTTCACAGGCTTGTTGTAAGGTTCAAATGAAGATATAATTAAAACAAATTTGACCAATGGTACAATTAGCATGTGTTGCACATAGTTTTTCTTTTGGAGGGGTTGCAAAGAATACTTATGGCATAATCTAATTTATGTAAAAAAAAGAGAAAGCAATATATATTTGTATTCAAAACTTGCAGGATATACAAAAAATTGATATCAATGTTTAACTATGGGGAGTGGCAAGGGGAAGTGTTGAGTGGGTGGGGAAAGAGGTTTTTATTTATACACTTTGAAAATGTTTGAATTTTCTTAACCATGAGCATATACAACTTTTATAATAAGCATTGGGCAATACTACTACTACTACCACTACTACTACTACTAGGTTGGACTACCAAGCCACTTGGGTCAGATAAGGATGGCTCTGCTCACCACACTGGGGGGCAGAAGAAACCCCACATTGTCTGGCTTCTTTTATATCAAGAACCTCTATTTCCCCAACAGTCAAGTTAGGGTTAATTATTCACATCACATTGATTCATGTTACAATTTTTAAATAAAATTCACATATGGTCCAAACTCTTTGAGTGCTTTTAAAACATCTGACCCATGCTTTAGGAGCAGGGCTTACGCAATAATGAAGATGTTCTTTGTTTTATTTGTTTGTTTGTTTCTTGGAGACAGAGTCTCACTCTGTCACCCAGGCTGGAGTGCAGTGGTACAATCTCAGCTCACTGCAACCTCTGCCTCCTGGGTTCAAGTGATTCCCCTGCTTCAGCCTCCCAAGTAGCTGGTCTGCCACCACACCCAGCTAATTTTTGTATATTTAGTGGAGATGGGGTTTCACCATGTTGGCCAGGCTCAAACTCCTGACCTCAGGTGACCCACCTGCCTCGGCCTACCACCGTGAGCCACCGCGCCTAGCCTGTTTTTTGTTTTTTGTTTTTTTGAGATGGAGTCTCACTCCGTCACTCGGGCTGGAATGCAGTGGCTTGATCTTAGCTCACTGCAACCTCCGCCTCCCTGGTTTAAGTGATTCTCCTGCCTCAGCCTCCTGAGCAGCTGGGATTACAGGCGCCTGCCATCTCGCCCAGCTAATTTTTATATTTTTAATAGAGACAGGGTTTCACCATGCTGTCCAGGCTGGTCTTAAACTCCTGACCTTAAGTGATCTACCTGCCTCAGCCTCCCAAAGTGTTGGGATTACTGGCGCAAGCCACCGTGCCGACCCTAAAGTGTTCTTGTACACAGGGTATTGTCTTACACTACAGGGAACCTGGATTGGAGTTGAAGGCAGATTTTTTTCAGAGGTTGGGGTGGAAGGGTGAGAATGTGAGTGTTCAACTTGAGAGGAGAAAGGGTAGGGGTGGAAGGAAACATCACTTGTATAGGGATTAATACTTTGCTTTTTAAAGTTATTTTAACCTGTGGTCTGTTTCTGTGTCCAAATAATAACTGCAGTAATAACAAATATTTGAGAGGTTAGTTAGACCTGAGCAAAAGCCTCGTTTTATTAAACAATGGGGCCTGGTGATTGTCCCACTGTCTGTCATCAGGGATATCCTGACTAAAAGAAGGGACAGGATTGTGTCTTGGTCACAGAGGGATCATCACCCTTCCTCTCTGCATCTACTCCCTCGAGCCATCTCGGCCCTAAATTGCCAACACAGGCAGATCCCATTGGATTTAAGCCTTTCTCCAGTCCCATCAGCGCTAATTGGACACATGGAATCCAGAGGTCTGTGAGTCACACTTTCTTAGGACATTCTCTACAAGTCCAGAGAAATGACCAGAAGGGAAGGGAAAGGAAGGGGCCCTGGGGTCCACCCAGGGCTGATAAAAAGGCCCTAAGCCCTACAAAGGTGGAGGCATCTTCAGGTGTGTGTCAAAGTACGAAGTTGACTGTACAAATTAGTGCAAGTCCAGCAAAACCCTGATTTTTCCCAAGATAATTATTTTGAAACAGTTTAAACATTTTATTTTAGATGTCTTTTTCTTTTTTTTCCCCGAAAGCCCGCTGGCTCCTAGGTTGGCTGTTGCCCTAGGCACAGCCGAAGCCGTCTGTGGTTCTGCACTCTGAGGTGCAGAGAAGGCCAGAGCGTCACAGGGAGGCTCAGGACGTCAGGGAGCTGAGGGCCTAAGATAAATAAAGTAAAAACAACCGCTGTTCGAGACTCAAGTCCCCTGTTCTCTCGCCTCACGCGGGCACAGGGAGCCCCCGGGCCGCACACTGGCCAGGGGCGGAGCTGGATCCCGGAGAGCCGCCGTCTCCGCTTCGCCGCCCTTCGCGCGCCCCACTTCAGCCTTTCAGCGTAAGGCAGGAACCTTTTTTCCAGACGGCAAAGAAAGGGAAGACTTTGCCGGAGAAAGAGGCAGTGAAGGTGAAGATGGGCTCCTGGGTCTGGGCGTTGTGGAGGGTCACCTGCCCCGCCTCGTAGTCCAGGGCGACTCTCACGCCGCGCGGGATCTCGCTCAGCGGCAGGTCGGTGCCCGGGGAGGTGCTGGCCCAGCACTGCTGGTGCGAGATGATCACGGCCCAGACGCCGTCCTCGGCGCTGAGTCCCATCTCTCCCTTCCTCCTCACCCCCTCCCCGGCCACCCCCACCGTGCAGCCGCCGCCGTCGCCCAGCTGCAGGTCAACCTGCCAGCGGTGGCGCCCGGAGGAGAAGCCCGGGAAGCCCAGAACCGCCGGGAGGCCGTCGAAGCGCAGGGGGCTGTCTGGCAGGCTCTTCTTCTGCCGGGTGTACCTCACTGACTTCCTGTCTTCCGAGAGAACCAGGCTCCGGCTGGCGGTCTGAGGGTCCAGAGTGATGACCCCTAGAGGGAGGAGCGCGCAGACATCAACAGCGGGCGGCAACCACAGATGTTCCTAGAGCAGGCAACGCACGTGGGAGGCAGAAGGAGTACTGGACTTGGGCAGCCTGCCATTGGGCCACTTCTCTGAACCGCCCTTCTACCTAATCAGCAAGTGGTGCTGTTAAGGATTTGCTTCTCAAAGTGCAGCGGGAGGGACCAGCAGCATCCCCACCACCTGGGTGTTTGTTAGAAATGCAGAATATTGGGCCCCATCCCACCCTACTAAATCAGAATCTGCATTTTAACAGGATCCCTAGGAGACGTTTCTGCATATTAAGTTTGAAAAGCACTTACCTATACCAGAGTGAGTGAGGTGATGCTTATGGAAACAACTTCTAAATTAAGCACCAATTTAAAAATAAATGTGATTTTTAAAAAATTGCACATTTTTTGTTCAAATCAGTAGAGAGCCCAGCACAATGCTCTCAAAAAACTAGGGCTTGATAAGTATTTTTCAACGAGTAATATCTACACAAGTAGATGACATTAATTGAGCACTTACTATGAGTCAGGTAATATACTAAGCTCTTTGCATGTATTAATTTATTTTGTCCTCACAGCTACTTATGGGACAGGTACAGTACTTTTATTTTCATTTTACTGATGAAGAAAATATTGTGGGACAGAGGCTTAATAACTTGCCCAGTGTCTCAGAGCTAGCAAGAACTGGAATCGAGAACTCAAGCAATCAAGCTCCAGAATTCATGCATTTTATTGCTCTGTTTGCTGCCATGGATTGAATGGATGAATGGAAGAATGACTCCCCAAATCCCAAGCTGTTTACCTGAATCTATTTCCAGATGATGCGCCAAGTTTTCTGAGGGAAGCAGAAATAGAAAGAGAGATCTGTGACTTATTACTTCTTATAGGCACCCCCAGGGGCAAGGTGACTTGAGTACAATGTGAAGATGAGGACAGAAGACTCGGCTTCTGCTGTGGTCTAGTGGAGGAGAAGGGTCCTCACCCTCCTGGACTCTCAGTCCTGCACCTGTCCTTAGGGAGTGGAGGAGATGCTCTGGGAATAGTGCCCCTGAATAAATTGAGATCACTAAGGGAAGGCTCTGGGGAGGGAAGATGTCTCGAGCCAGGTTTCAAGGGCAGAGAAGGATGGAGATGGGTGGAAGACAGGAGGGCAGCTAATGGGACTGGGGAAAACTGTGGCGCCTTCCCCTTTACCTGAGAACATCCTCATCATCTCTGGGAGGGTGAGTATTTTCCTGTGGAAATCACGGATCTTCTTGACAAGGTCAGGAGAAATGGCCTCAGGACTCACAAAAGTCTTCATCTCACACCTGCAGACAGGTTTGGTAACCAGTTAGGTCCAAATTCCAAAAACAAATGTTCGGGTGAGACCACGTGAGGCTAAAATCAGACTAAAGAATGATCTTGGCGTCTGTGGTGAATAATCAAATTGAGTATCATTTCTTTACTTTTGCTGGAAATGTGTAGTTACTAAAATAGTAGGCATTTCAGTTAAACCTAAGAGGAACTAAGGATAATCACTTCTCAAGAATTGGAGGTAAGCCCCTTTAGGAGAATGTTTGGTTCTGTAGGGGCTGAGGGACAGAGATCATTACCCCTTTTGGTCTCTAGAGGGCAACAGGGTACCATTTGAAAACAGCCTTAAACTACCCTTGTGTATGCTGCTATTTGTAAAGGAAAAGAGGCTAGAAGGGAAGAAAAAAAAAGGATCAACGAAAATACATATTGCAATGAAAAAAACTCCTGATTCTGGTCCCAGCTCAGTCCTCATTAGACACTTGCTGCATTACCTTGAAGACTCTTCACCCCCTGGGTCTCAGTTTCTTCCTCAGACTGGAAGACCTCCAAGCCCTTCTAGATCTAAACCTCTAATGCTCTTTGAAAAGCATGTTTGGAGACACTTCCTGATTCATGGACCCTGGGTTTATCCTCCCTGCACGGGAATAGGCACAAAGCACGTGACAATTGTTCCCTAGTCACTACACCTCTCTTCATCTCAGTGCAGACTGCTAATGCTTATAGCAGACAGGGAAGGAAAGGGCCATGCAT
The DNA here is from genome assembly GCF_000001405.40 of Homo sapiens. Taxonomy (NCBI): domain Eukaryota; kingdom Metazoa; phylum Chordata; class Mammalia; order Primates; family Hominidae; genus Homo; species Homo sapiens. The sequence continues at coordinate 1,427,841 of NT_167244.2, read as the reverse complement.
TTACAATGCCACTGGCTCCTGGTGGCTGTCCTTTTACAGTAGCATTAGAAAATTCTGAAGGAAACCAGAGATGTGTGTAAAAAATGAATGAATGAAAGAACAGGCTGGTATTCCTGGTTTCCATGCTTATCATAGTCTACAGAAAGTATTCCCCCTTTAAATTACATTTTAAATGGTGTTAGATACTGACTCAAGTACTAATAATTTCATAGATTAAATAAATGTTCCTGGATCAACCTAAAAACATGATTATTATTTATAACTTCACTTCTAGGGGAAAAAATGTGTCCCCAATACCAACCAATCAATTTAAAAATGAACCTTTAGAACGCAAATCTTTAGTGAGTTTGGACTGTTTGTGCACAGTTGAATGAGACAGTGTGTCTGCCAGAGTGCCTTTGCTTTCCTGGCAAAGTGGGTGGCAGTAAGTGCCCCTGCCCCTTCCCATTCAGTCTTGATGTTGAGTAAAAGGAGGCAGGACCGGGGAGTGGGCCCTACCTGCTCTGGTTGACTCTGACATCCTGCAAAAGAAAGACAAGAACATACATTTAGTTTCCATAAGTCCTTCCTGTCAGGGATTCTGTACATCACTTTTCCCTTAAAATATGAACTCAAAACTCTCCTTCTGCAGAGAGTTGTCCTGTTTAATTACCTACTCATTAGATTGTTCTTTTACATCATGTTTTCTTACTAATTTGGGTTTCTGTAGTCAGTTCATTTGTGCTGGTTTCCCTGTTTCAGCCTTATCGTGGGGGTGGGTTGTGTCTGCAATGATTAGGAGGTGGTAGAGAGCAGGGGCCTGCCTTCAGTTATCAGCTGGACCTGATGTGAGCCAGGATCACATATTCATAACCATAGCAGACACCAGTTATTGAGTTCTTTCTGTATATCAGGAATCATGCCAAGCATTTTTTATGGATTGTTTCTTATAATTTTGCAATAACTTTATGAGGGAGGTGCTATTGCTGTCCCCATGTTTAGAGAGGCTAAGAGACTCACTCAAGTCACACAATTGGAAGAGCCAACATTCAAATCCAAGACTGTCTGACCCTAAACCCCTTAACATGACCACAGTGTATGACTTGGGCAAGTCTCCAGCCCCTCTGGATCTGCACCCCGTTAACCTCTCTCCACTTCCCTTTCCTGCCTCTCTCCAGCCCAAAGCATGGTGCCCACCCCCTTCCCCGTGGAGTCCCTCTCTTATCCTACAAAGTGGTGAAGTGTCTCTCACTTGTAGAAGCTCACTTGCTGGCTGCTGACACTTCTCCTCCAGCTCCTTGACCTGGGCTCCAAGCCGGGTGACTTCCTCAGAGACCTTTGTGATATATTCATCCCTCTCCTTCCAAATCTGCTGCTCCAGCTCCCTCAGCCTGGCCAGCAGGAGACATCGCTGCTGCTCCAGCTCCTGCTGCAGCCTCTCAAAAGCTGTTTCCACCTGATGCTTCTTGCTTTCGATCTGAGTCTTCAAGGGATAAAAGGCAGACATGGTTAGGAAGGGGCTCAGAGATAGCTTCCAGGATGATCATCTATATACTTATTATTGATTAACAGGGATAGGGAGCAACTGGTCCAAGACTCATTCCATTTACTAATATGCCTAGAAGTAGTTAGGTCTCAGGATGAACTTACCAATGATGAGGGCTGTGCTACTGTCTTAGCTAGATACTCTAATAATAATGCTACATTATGCTCTCAGAATGATGTTGAACTTTTCAAAAATATTTCCACAACTACAATACCATCATAACCCTACTATGCCTTCTTAGAGTTAGGTGGGGAAGACTGTAATAATTTCTTAGAGGCAAAAGGAAGTTGTGATTGGAGTCAACACAACTTAGTGGGAGAGTGTGTAATTTTGGTTTTAGCCGTGGAAATCACCAACTACAGGGCATACGTTGATGAGAGCTGAGGGATGGTGGATAGGTTGCTTTGTCCCCACACTCTCTCCTTGGTCAAGGTACCAGAAATCCTCACACTGTGATTCCTCCATAACTTTATAGCATGAAAAGAGAGGCGTGAGGGATCCAGATGTAGCCACACCATCAGCCTACTCTCCTCAAGGTCAGCCTGTAGTCAGGACTAGAATCCCGACACTAACATATGTTTTTGACCCCAAGCTTCCCATCTGAAGGTGGTGTGTTCAGGCAAACAGACTAGGATGGAAAGAACAATGAATTAAGGGTCAAGAAATCCAGGTTCCTCATGAACTTCAGCTTTGCTATGTGGCCTTGGGAGCATTGCTTTTCTGGTCCTAAGTTTTCTGCTCTGTAAAATGTGATATACAAGATGGATCTTGGATTGCAAGACATCAGAACCACTTCTAGTGCTCATGGTCTGAGATCCCAAATGCCTTTGTGCAGCCACAGGAAGGTGAACGAGAACAGTTTGTCAGTTCTTTTCAGCCAGGAAACAGATACCAGCCAACGGGTTTCCCCAGAGTCTCTTAAGAAAACCTTCAAAGGAAAAGGTAGCCAGTGACGTGGCCTGTACCAGCAGCACTTGAAGCTTCTGGTCTTCTTGACACTTTACATCCTCAATCTCATCTCTCTCCGTGCTCAGAGCTTCCAGTCGACTCCTGAGACGATCCTGTGGGGAGAAGAATGGGTGGATAGAGGTGACTGAATTAATAATTCAACTCACAATTATTAACTATCACATCCTGGGCACACTGTTGAGTGCTGAGGGGTTCAAAGGTGGAAAAGGCCCAGTCCTTGCCCTAAAGAGACCACCATCTCAGGAAGAAGTCAATGTCAAGTGATTAAAATACAGATAGATAAATGCAATAGTCCAGGGGTACACACAGTGAGATGGGAACACAGAGGTCAGCTCTGCCTGTAGGCCTAAGGGAAGGTTTGGAAAGCAGAAAACATTTACAATGTGCCTTGAAAGATAAATTTCCAGTTGAATAGAGAGGGAGAGAAAAGGACTTAGTGCCCACAGATGTGAAGGACCTCTTCAAGGAGAACTACAAACCACTGCTCAAGGAAATCAGAGAGAACACAGACAAATGGAAAAACATTCCATGCTCATGGATAGGAAGAATCAATATTGTGAAAATGGCCATACTGCCCAAAGTAATTTATAGATTCAGTGTTATCCCTATCAAGCTACCATTGACTTTCTTCACAGAATTAGAAAAAACTACTTTATATTTCATATGGAACCAATAAAGAGCCCACATAGCCAATACAATCTTAAGCAAAAAGAACGAAGCTGGAGGCATCATGCTACCTGACTTCAAACTATACTACAAGGCTGTAGTATATGATATCAAATATGTCTGGTATCAAAACAGACATATAGACAAATGGAACAGAAGAAGGGCCTCAGAAATAACACCACACATCTACAACCATCTGATCTTTGACAAACCTGACAAAAACAAGCAATGGGGAAAGGATTCCCTATTTAATAAATGGTGTTGGGAAAACTGGCTAGCCATATGCAGAAAACTGAAACTGGACCCCTTCCTTACACCTGAAATAAAAATTAACTCAAGATGGATTAAAGACTTAAACGTAAGACCTAAAACCATAAAAACCCTAGAAGAAAACCTAGGCAATACCATTCAGGACATAGGCATGGGCAAAGACTTCATGACTAGAACACCAAAAGCAATGGCAACAAAAGCCTAAATTGACAAATGGTATCTAATTAAATGAAAGAGCTTCTGCACAGCAAAAGAAACTATCATCAGAGTGAACAGGCAACCTACAGAATGGGAGAAACATTTTGCAATCTATCCATCTGACAAAGGGCTAATATCCAAAATCTACAAAGAACTTAAACAAATTTACAAGAAAAAAACAAACAGCCCCATCAAAAAGTAGGTGAAGGATATGAACAGACACTTCTCAAAAGAAGACATTTATGTGGCCAACAAACCTATGAAAAGAAGCTCATCATCACTGGTCATTAGAGAAATGCAAATCAAAACCACAATGAGATACCATCTCACACCAGTTAGAATGGTGATCATTAAAAAGTCAGGAAATAACAGATGCTGGAGATGATGTGGAGAAATAAGAATGCTTTTACAATGTTGGTGGGAGTGTAAATTAGTTCAACCGTTGTGGAAGACAGTGTGGCAACTCCTCAAGAATCTAGAATGAGAAATACCATTTGACCTGGCAATCCCATTACTGGGTATATACCCAGAGGATTATAAATTATCCTACTGTAAAGACACATGCACACATATGTTTATTGCAGCACTGTTCACAATAGCAAAGACTTGGAACCAACCCAAATGTCCATCAATGATAGACTGGATAAAGAAAATATGGCACATATATGCCATGGAATACTATGCAGGCATAAAAAAGATGTGTTCATGTCCTTTGCAGGGATATGGATGAAGCTGGAAACCATCATTCTCAGCAAACTAACACAGGAACAGAAAACCAAACACCACATGTTCTTACTCATAAGTGGGAGGTGAACAATGAGAACACATGGACACAGGGAGGGGAACATCACACATCGGGGCCTGTCAGGGCTTGGGGGACTAGGGGAGGGATACCATTAGGAGAAATACCTAATGTAGATGATGGATTGATGGGTGCAGCAAACCACCATGGCACGTATATACCTATGTAACAAACCTGCACGTTCTGCATATGTATCCCAGAACATGTATAATAAAAAAAAAAAGAAAAGGACTTAGTGCCCCTGAATTGTATACTTAAAAACAGAGAGAGAGGTGGGAGGAAGGGAGAAGAGTATTCTAGGAGGAAGAGACTATGTGCAAAAAGTATTGGAAGCAGGAATGAATAAGACAACTCAGGAAAAAACAGCAAGTGCAGCTCAGTCTGGCCAGACACGTGGTGCCTTGAGGAGGGAGGCTGAGCGATGAGGCCGGACAGGGAGGAAGGATCCCGACTGCAAAGGGCCTTGAATGTCTTGCTAAAGACCTTGGACTTTCTTTGGGCACTAGGTATACATGGGAGGATTTTGTGCAGATGAGTGACTTTGTGTTTTAGGAGGATCTGTCTCCCAGCAGATTGGAAGGTGACTGGAAAGGGTGAGAATGGAGACAGGAAATGCCATGGAGACTGCAAAGTCTGCGCAAGAGATAGGGAGAACCTGGCTGTGAGGATAAGGCAGAATTAAAGATTTGGGAGATGTTTCTAAGGTAACCACTTCCAGACCTGGTGACTGGATGACAAGAGAGAGATCTGAGAGGCTGACAGGAAAGTGCCCCAAGGCCAGATGGGGAATTCTCACAATTCTGGACTACTGCCACCCTCCCTTTCTCAAGAAGAAGAGCAGTGCTAGCAGGTTCCCCTTCCCAGCTCCTCCCTCCCCTCTGCGCCCTGGCAGTCAGGGCCCTATAAACCCCATTTCCAGTCTGGATCCTGGGAGAACAAGTTTACCCTGCCCATAATCTGCAGAAGATCCCACTCGGCATTGGAGCTTTCTTTCCATAGTGAGTGAAGCCAAGGCTACAGTTCTTTGCACTCCACCTCTGTGGGGTCCTCTGAGAGCTGGAGCTGAAGTTCCCCCCAGACCAGGAACTACCACACATCCAAGTGGAGCCCTATCTGCCTTCAGTCTGGGAATGCCTCGAAAGTCCCTGTAACCTTAGGGTTCCCTGATGTGGAAGCCTTTCATCCAGATCCCCGCCCGATTTCCTCCCCTCATAACAGGACATCATCCTGCCCCAAACAGGCCCTAGGTAAAGCTACACTTCTTACCCGGTAGGGCTGAATGGCCTCGTCCAGGAACCCCACGGTGTGCGCCTGGTGCGTGGGACCCTCCCTGCAGAACACACAGAGGAACTCGGCATCGTTCTCGCAGAAGAAGTAGATCTTCTCGCCGTGCTCCTCGCAGTAAGTTTCTCCCAGCGGGCCCAGGGGCACAGGGGCCATGGGAGTCTCTGCCTGCTCCTCCTCTTGGCAGAGCGGGCAGAGCAGGATCTTGCCCGAGGATTGGGCCCCCATCTGGGAGAGCGCGGGGAGGCAGAGCCGGCAGAAGGTGTGTCCACAGGGAATGGTCACCGCATCCTCCAGCGGCCCCGCACATAGGGTACAGGCAGGCAGCTCATGGACCACCTTCAGGGACGGGGTTGCGGGCATCACGGTGCCTTCCCCAGCCCGTCCACTCCGGTCTCCTCAGCCCACGCGAGTTCCCTTTCCCTGAAATCGAGTCACACTTACATGAATCGCAGAGGGAAACGGCTGCAAGGCTGAGAGACAGAGAGAGAGAAAGAGAGAGAGAGGCAAGAATGCCAGCACAGGGAAGCCACCTGGCTCCGCCTCTTGTGTTCCCTAGAACCCTGGCCACCACCTATCAGCGGAGTGGGTCCAAATTCCAGGGCGTCTCGAATTACCCAGAATTTCCCAGTGGCGGCCAAGTAAGCCAGTTCTTTACTCCTGGCTCCTTCTGGTCCCTAGGGTGGAGAACAGAGCACACCATGAGGTCACAGGGGGATGGGTTTCCTGGAATCTGTAGACCACAGTGGCTGGGGAGAACTGGGGAGCAGAAGCTTCCTGTCAGATTGAGCAGGTGGGAGCCATAAACTTCTGGCTCTGAGGCGTGCCCACAGCATCAAAGTCCAGGCTGGAGTGAGAGGTGTGGACTTCGGGAGATTCTGCCGGAAGTGTGTGGGCGGGACGCTGTTTCGACACTGCAGGTAGGGTGTAAGGATTGCTCATCGGGTCCCCTCTTCTGCTCTCCTTTCCTCCCTCACCACATCTGCCCATGGTGGCCCCTCCTACGGTCCCAAATCCCCCACCACCTGGCACAACAGTCCCCTTTGGGGTTCGGGTAACACTGGACTATTTTATTTATTTATTTATTTATTTATTTATTTATTTATTTTTACTGTAGCGGGGAGAAGGCAAGAAACCATAATGCAAATGATTTATGTTGATACACATTAGAAAACGATTAGTCAGATAATCAGTTTCAACCACATTTATCTAGGGTTTAGTATTTTTATATTACTACATTCAATTTTAATAACCCTCTAGGCAAACATTATTACCTTCATTTTACAGAGAAAGAAATGTAAACTGACTTTCCAAATGTAAAGTGACTTTCCAAAGGTCACAAAGCTAGAAAGTATCACGTTAAGGACGATCCCAGTCTCCTGGCTTAAAGCCCTACGCTCCTCCCACACCTCATGCCAAGACCAAGATCTGCAGCCACGGTCCTTCACCCATGCACACATCTGTGGATAAAACCAGGCCTTCCCCCATTCTCCCACTGGGTGATCAGCCTAGCCCCTTGTGGTTGCTCCCTTTTTACTCTAATCACTTTATTACCTCCCCTTCCCATCCAATCTCTGCTCTTCCTGCCACGAGTGCAGCCCAGGAACTAGTTTGTCCAATACAGGAGCCACCAGCCACATGTGTCTACTGAGCACTGAAATGTGGCCGGTCTGAATGGCGGCATGCTGTATATGTAAAATACATACCGGATTTCTTTTTTTTCTTTTTCTTTTTCTCTTTTTTCTTTTCTTTTTTTTTTTTTTTGAAATGGAGTCTCGCTCTGTCTCCCGGGATGGAGTGCAGTAGCGCGATCTTGGCTCACTGCAAGCTCCTCCTCCCGGGTTCACACCATTCTCCTGCCTCAGCCTCCCGAGTAGCTGGGACTACAGGCGCCGGCCAGCACGCCAGGCTAATTTTTTTGTATTTTTAGTAGAGACGGGGTTTCACCGTGTTAACCAGGATGGTCTAGATTTCCTGACCTCGTGATCCTAGGCCTCCCAAAGTGCTGGGATTACAGGCGTGAGCCACCGCGCCCGGCCAACACACCGGATTTCAAAGGCTTTTCACAAATTTAAAAATGTAAAATATCTTATTAATGACTTTTTATATGGATCACATATTGAAATGATAATAGTTTGGAAATATAGGACTAAATAAAATAACATCATTAAAATTACTTTCACCTGTTTAGACTATTTTTATATGGCCACTAGGAAATTTTAAATTGCATATGTGGCTCACTTTGCGTTTATGTTGAATAGCATTGCTCGGAAGACAGATCTGACAGCAAATTATTTATGGTCACTCACCTTCTTACTTGTGTGCCTAGGGCAAGCTGAATAACCTGGCTGGGCCTCAGCTTTCTCATTTATGAAATGGAGATCCTAATAGCACTGATGTTGCAGAGCAGACACAGAAATAAGATCATACTTTTAAATTGCTTGTATCAATGTAAGTTGTACCGTCATTGTAAATAAATTCTGGCCAAATTGCTTGTATCAATGTAAGTTGTACCGTCATTGTAAATAAATTCTGGCCGTTAGTAGTTTTCTTTCTCCTCCCCATCATAGGGAATATTCCAGCCTCTTTTGAGGCCTGCAGCAGGCCAGTTGAGGCATCACCATTGAAGTTGCTGGTGCAGTGTACACCCTGGCACAAGGACCTTATCTGAGCCCCCACACTCTCCTGCTTGCTGATGGGCAAGCCCTGGGCTGGCTGATACCTCCAATCTCTTTGGAGACAGCTGGCCATATGGCAGAAAGGCTGGAATGGCATCTCCACTCTGTGACCCAGTCTCCCACTTGCCCCCAAAAGAATATTTCTTCTGACAGTGGACAGCTGACATATCACCACTTTCCTTCTACTGTGAGTGTCTCTGGATGGGCAGAAAGGAATGGCCAGCCCCTGGTTATGGTCATCTAAGGTCACCTCTGAAATGCTGTGAGCCCCTCTTCCTTCCTCTCCTCTGCTATTTCCCATCTCTGCTGTTGGCAGGAGAATAGAACCCTGGCTGCCAGAGATGCAAGTGTGTGACGATATGGGTGCTGGTGCATATTTAGTATGTGCCTGTGTCCAGCCATGTGCATGTGTGGGTGTGTGAGTGTGTGACCCAGCCCTTCCCCCGTGGCCAAGCAGAGAGAGTGGCCTTGAGGAAGCCATAGCAGCAGGACCAGCATGGCCTCTGCTGCCTCTGTGACCAGCCTGGCAGATGAAGTCAACTGCCCCATCTGTCAGGGTACCCTGAGGGAGCCGGTCACTATCGACTGCGGCCACAACTTCTGCCGGGCCTGCCTTACCCGCTACTGTGAGATACCAGGCCCAGACCTGGAGGAGTCCCCTACTTGCCCACTCTGCAAAGAACCCTTCCGTCCTGGGAGCTTCCGGCCCAACTGGCAGCTGGCTAACGTGGTGGAGAACATTGAGCGCCTCCAGCTGGTGTCCACACTGGGTTTGGGAGAGGAGGATGTCTGCCAAGAGCACGGAGAGAAGATCTACTTCTTCTGTGAGGATGATGAGATGCAGTTGTGCGTGGTGTGCCGGGAGGCTGGGGAGCACGCTACCCACACCATGCGCTTCCTGGAGGATGCAGCGGCTCCCTATAGGGTAGGAAAGGGGAACTGGGGGATCCCAGGGTGGACTGGACTGGACTAAGAGAAACAGCAGAGTTGTGGATTATTTAGGCCACCCGGAGGCCAAATTCTTTCTCCTTACTTACATGATCACCCAGGCAATAGACCCAGGCATGGAAAATTGTGTTTATGTTTTATGTTTTTTTGAGTGTGTTCTGTGTTCACTTGTGGCCAACAGATAACGGGAGTTCAACAAGTACTTGTTGAATGAATGAGTGACCAAACATGAGTGTGTGTGTCTGTGCCATGGATCAGGTGTGTCTGAAGTTTGCATTTGAGGGAATGATTGTACAAACAGTGTGTATATGTGTTAATGTTTGCATGTTTAGAAGTGTGTCTGGTGTGTTTGGATGGGAGTCTGAGTATGTATATATTTGAGTGTGTAAGTGTAACTGAGAGCTCCTGTTTGTGAATAAATTCGTGTTTACATATATTCAGGCTGGGTAAATGTATGTGGCATGCCATTTTATCTGTCATTAAATGAATGTGTGCTGGTTTTAGTTGTTTATGCATTGTGCTTATGAATTATGTTTTAGTACAAGTCTGTGTGTGGATGTCTTAATTAGTTAATTAGCAGTTGATAGTGAGAATTCTAATATATCTTTGAACACACATATTTATCGTGTGTGTACCTGTTCCTAACTCTATTCTGGAGCAAATAATTTTGAAAACAATTTATCAATTATTTTTACATTACCCAAGTTTCTTCTCCCCTCTGGAGTCATACACAGATAATTGATTTCAGTAACAAGGGAGGGTTGTTATTTACACATGTTCCTTTGGGATGAGTCGGAAACTCAGAATGATTTCAGTGCGGGGCATATCAAACTCAGTACAGACCCCAGATACCACTTACCCGAAGCAAAACACAATAGAATGTTAAACCTGAAGAAAGACTCAAGTGGGAAAACCAAGTCACAGCCTCTAATGGCACAGGATAAAGGGGGAAAGTCCTGATCCAAAGTCTTAGAGACAAATCAAGAGGAAGAAGACCCAAAGGGAGTAAGCTGTCAGGGTGGTGAAGGCTCGGGGATTGTCAGCTAAGGAAGGGACTCCTCTCCTGGGGCCATTTCATTCCTGGAGGCAGAGGGTCAGATGACCAGACAAACCTGAACAAATCATTTTCCATCTTGAGTATTTTATGTTCCTTCTCCCCAGGAACAAATCCATAAGTGTCTTAAATGTCTAAGAAAAGAGAGAGAGGAGATTCAAGAAATCCAGTCAAGAGAAAATAAAAGGATGCAAGTCCTCCTGGTAAGTCATCACCCCTTCCCCAGGTTCCTCCCCTTCCTCAGGGTCCAGTGTCTTCCTGAAACTGAGGCAACATAGATTATAGGGCTTTGAAGTTATTATGAGTTTAAATCCTGACTCTGACACTAACTCTATGACCTCAAGCAACTCTCCAACTTCAGTTTACTTATCTGTAAAATGGAGAGTAAAAATCATCATGACCTCATTGAATTACTGTAAGCATTAAATGAGATTGTGACTGTAAAGTAGCTCAGGGCTGTGCACATAATGTGCTTTTCATACAAGACAGGAGGTAGGGTGTCCCCACCACCTCCTCCTACACCTCCTGTAAGCCCTACCCCTTTTAGAAGCTGCAGCAGATGGTGCTGAGACAACACTGTGAGTCTTGCTTCTCGAAATGGGATGACAAGTGAAAAGGAAACCATGACACAGTTCCAGATCTACCTGGGGACAGGGGAGGAAGAGGAGCAGAGGGAGAAGGAGGAAGCAAACTTTCTCTTGGGCTTGCCTCCTGCCCCCTCAGACTCAGGTGTCCACCAAGAGACAACAGGTGATTTCTGAGTTCGCACACCTGAGGAAGTTTCTAGAGGAACAGCAGAGCATCCTCTTAGCACAATTGGAGAGCCAGGATGGGGACATCTTGAGGCAACGGGATGAATTTGATTTGCTGGTTGCTGGGGAGATCTGCCGGTTTAGTGCTCTTATTGAAGAACTGGAGGAGAAGAATGAGAGGCCAGCAAGGGAGCTCCTGACGGTGAGGCCTGAACCGGAACCCTGCCCCACCTGTGCTGTCCTGTGACTCTTGCATCTTTGTCTTGCCTAAGCCATGTCTCCCTGACTCACACATCTCTGTATCCCAGATGGGAGGTGGGTCAGAGGACCAGAAAGTCTCAATTCTAGTTCATGCTTTTCCAAGAGTTCCCTGGTCACTTTTTGCTCTCTGGTCTCCACCTCTCCGTCCCACCATCTGCCAAATAGGGAAGATACTTTCCTTAAATATTTCACAGGGCTTTTGTGAGGATCCAACAGTAAGATGGAAGTGAAAGTAGCACTTTGAAAAAGTATTAAGTAAGTTGCAAACCATTCTCTATAACCTAAATGTCACCAACCACCAGTCAGGAAGTTTGTCCTGGTCTATTTCACTTCCTCACACTGGAGGAGAGGTATTGGGGTCCCCACAAAGTATTGGAAAGGCAGCATGACTTAGAATGATGCTCTTAGGACTGAGAAACAGGAGACCTTGGTATGAGACTTACTTTGCCTCCAGTGAGCAGGGGAAGGTCACTTCACCATCTTTATCTAAAAAATAAAGGCTTTGGGCTCTGATCCACAGAGATGGGTGAGTCCTAATGCTCTGTGACTCTATGCATCTGGTATCCTTTTCCTGTCCAGAGCTAGAAATATATTTTGTCTTTTCCAGTCATAAGAAAAGTGGGAGGAGCCTGGGCAACATAACAAAACCCCATCTCTACAAAAAAAAAAAAAAAAAAAAAAGAAAATTAGCCAGGCATGGTGACAAACACCTGTAGTCCCAGCTACTCAAGATGCTGAGGTAGGAGGATCCCTTGAGCCCAGGAGGTTGAGTATGCAGTGAGCCATGATCACGCCACTGTATTCCAGCCTGGGCACCAGAGTGAGACCCTTTCTCAAACAAACAAACAAGCAAATAAAAAATAAATAAAATAAAAGTAGAAAAAGAAAGGAAAGAAAAATGGAAAGGAGAAGCTGGAAACTGAATTTCTGGTATCTCTTTCTCCTAGGACATCAGAAGCACTCTAATAAGGTAAGCAATATAGTTTCTCTCTTTTCTTTTTCCATATAAATATACATACATGTACTGCATGCCTAGTTATTGCCACACAGGTATATAACATTCTCACTTAAGGATACAAATTTACATATAAACCTCTATATACCCAAATGCCTTCTCAGGTATATCCATAGATGCCCAAAAATGGGCAGTGGGATTCATCCTAGAGGAAGTACGTCTGCCTGCAGGAACTAGCGCCATCATGCCCTATTAGAAGATGACCAGCTGAGTCTGGAGACATTATTAAGGATGATAATTCCCAGACCCAGCCATTTCTGTGCCCCTAGATGTGAAACCAGAAAGTGCCGGAAACCGGTGGCTGTGTCGCCAGAGCTGGGCCAGAGGATTCGGGACTTTCCCCAGCAGGCCCTCCCGCTGCAGAGGGAGATGAAGATGTTTCTGGGTAAGAGAACCCCAGGCCTCCACAGAGCGCAGGTGGCCATGAAGCCTGGGTTTAGGAGTGGCCTCCACGCTCCACTGCTGAAAGGTGTGACTTTGGCAAGCCTTATTCCTTCCTGTGCCTTGATTTCCTTATTTGCAGATTTTTATAAAATCTGCCTATTAGGATATTGTGACAATGAAGAAAGAGAATAAAGGTGAATATTTCTGGTGAAAAAGTTAAACTGATTTTAAAATAATTCAACAAATCTGATTAGTGGTCATTAAGCAATATGAAAGATAATGATTAACAATATATCATTCTTAATAAGTTAAAAAATCCCACAGCAACATTTGTAATATGTGATAAGTTTTTGATGATGAACATTGTTAATTAATAGCCAACAACAGTATTTATCTTGACCCTGTGGTATCTGGCTCGTCCCTCCTTCCTTCTCACTTTCTTTCTGTTAGTCTGGCTCAGAGTTAGACGGTCCTACGGGGACTGTGCTCCACTTCCTTTTCCGGAACAGGGAGTGGTGGTAGGGTGTGGGGGAGGGTTTGGATGAGAGTCAGGAATGGGACATGGCTCTCTGCCAACCACCTCCTCACTAACCATGACAGAATGAATGATGACACCAATTTTGAAATGACCCACCCACAGTTATGTCACCCTAGAAGGACTTTTCCCATAATTCCATTTCCTGCAAATACTTCCAGTGACCTGTCAGTGAAGGAAATTTCACTCTAATCAAAGGCTGACCTTTGACTCTCCCCAAAATTATTTCCAAGTGGAATAATAAATAAATGAACCCATTTCTCTATTCACTAAGCAGATATTTCTTGAGCATTTACTATGTCCTGGGCTCTGCGGGTACAGAGGTGAGCAAGGCAGTCATGGTCCCTGTTTGATCAGGGCTAGGGCAGTGGGGCTCCCACCAGCAGCAGCAGCTGCATTGCCCAGGAAATTGTTAGAAATACAGATGTTCAGCTCCACCCCAGAGCACCTGAATCTGAAACAGATGTGTTTTAACAAGAGCTCCAGATGATTCTGATGCAAGCTTGGAACCACTGGTCTAGAGGATTCCAGCTTACATTCTTCTTCTTGTCCCTTCCCTCTTCTTGGCCTCAGTTTTCTCATCATTAAGTGTCTGATGGTTTTGTAAGACTAATAAAATCTCATCCTGGTTTATTTTCTTTACAGAAAAACTATGCTTTGAGTTGGACTATGAGCCAGGTAAGGAGCCTATGTCAGGATGGGAGAGAATGAGAAGTCCTCGGAAAGGAGAGAAAATTTTGCAGGATTTGCACTATGACTATGTTATGACTATGACAATAGTCATAACAAACACCCATGGATACATATACACATCATATATATTATATATACACATATGTGTGTGTATATAATACATGTGTGTATATATAGGTTGTGTGTGTGTGTGTGTCACATTGTTTGTAAGGCTCTCAGGAGAAACATGAAGAAAGGACAAGCACATACACATACTACATTCGTGGTATGAAGCTCACATCCTGATCTGCGCATGTCGAGTAGATAGAAAGATTAATGCAGAATGGGATAAAGTCCATCTGGGAATGCTTTCTGGATAAAGGGGACTTTGATCTGGGTTTATAATCACCTCTTTAGAACGTAAGGAACCCCTGCTTCCTCTCAGATGTCATTTCACAGATGACAGAAGGAGGGCGGCCTGTGGGTGGGAAAAAAATGAACAGAATGGACCCCTTCAAGGCTGTCATTTCTCAATCAACCAGCCTAAGACCCTGGGAGTCACGGAGTTGTTGGAGGGGGTTCTCTAACCCACAGATGGACCTAAATTTATGGAAGCTTCTCAATTTATGAATACTAAAAGTAACAAAACGCAAGGCTCTGCAGCAGTTTTTGGTGGTAAAAAGTGGTCCTCAGACTCTGACAGTTTCAGAATTACTGAGGCAGAGTGAATAACCCAGGGGTGAGCCAGAGAGCCTGCCAGGAGGGAAGACTGTAAATGAGTCACCAGTGCCCTGGGAGGAAAACAGGGAGGAATCATGAAGTTTGGACTGAAGGGAGAAATGTCGCTGCACTGTGGGATAGAGATGGGAGGAGGGGAGAATGTGGTATATCAGCCCCAGGAGATCCAAGCTGGCACGCACAGCTTTGGAAACCAGCCAACTTGCGGTGAGCAGAAGAGCTTTCCCGAGGACCACACTGAACTAAACGAGAGCTTTCACATCCTCTGAGGCAGGCTTTTCAGGCTTTACCTGTGTGCAAATCACCTGGGCATCTTGTTAGGATGCAGATTCTGAGAGCGTATATCTAACAAGTTCCCAGGTGGTTCCACACTGTTGGCCCACGTAGGCACTATACATGTTTTTGGTAATAATAACACTAACAGGAGGGGCCCAGGGGGAGTTTCTATGCCTTCCTTGGAGGTAATAGCATGTCTGCTGACATCTGTCCCTTTTGGTTATCCCCACAGCTCACATTTCTCTAGACCCTCAGACTTCCCACCCCAAGCTCCTCTTGTCCGAGGACCACCAGCGAGCTCAGTTCTCCTACAAATGGCAGAACTCACCAGACAACCCCCAGCGTTTTGACCGGGCCACCTGTGTTCTGGCCCACACTGGCATCACAGGGGGGAGACACACGTGGGTGGTGAGTATAGACCTGGCCCATGGGGGCAGCTGCACCGTGGGCGTGGTGAGCGAGGATGTGCAGCGGAAGGGGGAGCTTCGGCTGCGGCCAGAGGAGGGGGTGTGGGCTGTGAGGCTGGCTTGGGGCTTCGTCTCGGCTCTGGGCTCCTTCCCCACACGGCTGACCCTGAAGGAGCAGCCCCGGCAGGTGAGGGTGTCTCTTGACTATGAGGTGGGCTGGGTGACCTTCACCAACGCTGTCACCCGAGAGCCCATCTACACCTTCACTGCCTCCTTCACTAGGAAGGTCATTCCCTTCTTTGGGCTCTGGGGCCGAGGGTCCAGTTTCTCCCTGAGCTCCTGAGAAGGAGCAGTTACCTACTCTCCTCTAAGTACAGGACTCATATCAACCCAAGTACCATGTGGACTTGATCCCTGGCTGAATCACCTGGATGACTTGGAATAGAAATGACTGCTTTAGAAGATGGGATGGGGCCGGGTGGTAAGGGATAGAAGAGAGGACTCTCAATCTACTGATCAAGTCCTTTCCCCAATGCCCAGTGGATGGCCAGGGTACCTGGGGACTCAGGCTGCTGCCAGTTCTGCTCACCACCATCCGTGCTTGGCACAGAAGTAGCTGCATAGAAAGGGCACTGGATTTGAAGTCAGAAGACCTGGGTTCTTGAACCAGCCTGTCAACCAGTTGTATGACTTTAAACAAGGCATCTCACCTCTTTTCATCTTGTTTTCTTCCAATAATGTTAGAGTTCATGTAATCACATTCTCTAGAACCATTTAGTTTGTGTTAACTATGAACCAAGCAGTGTGGTGGCCACTGGTGACTTGAAAATATAGAGAAAAAAAAAACCTGCTCTATATCTGAAAGAGCTCTTGGGAAGACAGAGAAACATAAAGAGGAAATTACAGCACAGTGTGGTGGGTGTTACGGGAAGTCCAACCCCAGCATTATGGGAGTTCAGGGGAAGGGGCATAGCCCAGCCTGGAAGGAGAGGGTGAGTGGGGGATGGCTTTCTGAAAAGGGTGGTCTAAAGGATGCCTATGGTCAATAGGGAAAAGAGGGGAAGAAGCATCTTAAGAAGAGGAAACAGCAGAGAACTGGCTGGATGACCTGTGACTCTGGAGCACTGGGTTGTCTCCATTGTCATTATGGGCAGATGTGTGCCATCCCCAGCCGACGCCACTCACTGCCTCCTTCCTCCTGGTGTTGCCACTTCTGGGTGAGATTAAGGTGCAGGGCCTGGGGGCAGGAGGACATAAGGTATAGCCATAAATCATAACCCAGGGACCACACTCAACCCTAGGGAAATTGTCTTCCTGATCAGTTGATTACCATCTGAGGTCAAGAAATGAGATAGT
The DNA here is from genome assembly GCF_000001405.40 of Homo sapiens. Lineage (NCBI taxonomy): Eukaryota > Metazoa > Chordata > Mammalia > Primates > Hominidae > Homo > Homo sapiens. Next base: position 1,411,051 of record NT_167244.2, on the reverse strand, counting down.
GGGAGCAAATGGGTCACAAATAGCTCAGCTGTGGGCTCAGAAACTGCTAGGTAAAAGAATTCCAGAAGGAGGCCAGGGCATAAGTTGGATGACCTATGAACTTTAGTCTAAAGAATTGAGACTACCGTAATTGAGACTACTGTAGTGACATCTGAGAAATGGGATGGAATAGTGACCATGTTTTATTTTCTTGTTCTTGTCACTATTGTATTTTATTTTGCATAATCATGCCCTTCACTGACAGTCTCCTTAACATCATCTGTTTACTCTGCTCAGTGTAAACTACAATGCTCTGTCATCTCCCTACTGGGTCTCCTGGGAGGAGGGGAGCCATCCAGGGTGCAAACTCAAAGGCAGAGGGCACAGCGTGCTTAGGCCCAAGCTTAGAATTCAATTGAGAAGTTCTGTTGTTCATCCTTACCTCAGCAGGTAGAAAAGAGGTGGAGATCAGAAGCCAGGGATTAGAGATTGAATTGCTTTCCCTGGGAGTGTGCAGTATCTCATTAAAATGTTGTATATTCAAAAAAATACAGACACACACAAGTGCCTATATAATGATAAAACATATCCAAAGCACCCAAACCTGTGATTCCAGAAAAGTAGATCCTATTTTTGTTTATTTTTATTGGCTTTAGCTGTGTCTTTTGAAAGGACTATTATCCTCTAAAATGTATGTGTATGAAGATCCTGGCTTGCAGCTCGGGAGCTTTACACACCTTGTGTCACTTTATCTTGGTAACGAGCCAAGATCATGCAACCAGTTCATCCATGTCTGACCCAAGAGCTCTTAACTGCTATGCTGCACTGCCTCATTCAGAGATAGATGCCTGCATGGGTCCTGGCGATTATTTTAATGCTGGCTACACCCCCACAGGTGACTTGGATTCAGAAATACAATTTATATTTCTTCTTTTTAAATTGTTTTATTTTATTTTTCTTTTAATAGTTATATGTCAGTGAGAACAATTTATATGTCTTACACTGAGAAATAAAACTGCTCATAAGTGAAAACACTCATGTTGGTCTGTCAGTACCTGCTTCTCCCCTAGGGTAATTTTACTTGAAGTTTACTTGCTTTCGGAGTATGGAGTCAGCACAGGGGAAGTGGATAGATCCTAAAACCTGGTAACTTCAAGATAAGGCAGCTTAATGAACCTCCTTGCTCTGCTGGCCGGAAGTGGGACTCTGGGTTCCCTCCCCAGGAAGTGCTCAAGTCTAGAGGCCCCAGAGTCCCAGCTACCCTTTCCGACTCTGAAGGACTGTTGCACATTTGTAACATCCACAGTTTACACCTCATTTTTCAAAGCTTACATGGTAGCAACCCTTTCTATTGCAAAGAACTGAGACCCACTCAAGTTAGTTCAAATGATAGGTAAGTTTATTATAAAAGCAGAAATAAGGAAAATGCGATTTTCCACCATGAGCCAGGCCCCGTGAGAAGCTATGTCAGGCGTGAGCGAGTTGGTGGGGTCACCACTCGTTCCTGTAGGAAGAACTAGAGATTCCAAAAATGCTGATAACAATCACACACATAGAACTTATTTTGGCCAAACACCATAATAAATATTTGTATATATTAACTCATTTAATCCTCACAACAACCTCAGGAGGTAGGTGCCCATCTTGTACATAAGAGAACTGAGACATGTGGAGGCCGAGCAGCTGGTCTCAAATCAGCTGATAGTAAGTCGCAGAGCCAGCATTTGAAGTCTTGTGGTTTGGCTCCCGAGTCTGTGCTCATGACCATTATGCAGTGGTATGTTGTATGCCCAGGACCTACCGGTAAGAAGTGGGCTCGAAGTCCAAAGAAGCGTGAAGACTGGATATTCCTGCGGCCTCTCAGCAGCATGGGTCATGGACACCTGTTCCAATACATCGTGGCTGCACATGCATCTCTGATTCTCTCTGTGTCTGCTCTTCTTGCCAACTAATGACACATTCATCATGGATCCCTTCTGAATCTCCGAGAGGACCTGATGGTTTCAGTTAATTACTATTGTCCCTCTTTGATAAGGTCTTCCTTGACAGGTGACCTCATAGACTTGTTTGGCCAATTATCTGCTGTTCAGACTCCTACCCCTGGCCTGATCATCTGTGGTGACGTCAGAAGGGACCAAGGGGGGCCTGGAAGGCATCTTCAGTATAACTGAATTCTCTCCTGAGGAGAGACCCTGGGGGCTGTCAGTCTCCTCCTACTCCTAGTACAAGTTCTCTTGGTGACATTAACTCCATCTGGGATGCAGAAATTGCTAGCTGTCACTTTCAGGGGTGTTCTTTCCTTGGCTAATGTCTTGCTCTTAGATTTGGGATCTTATGTTTCTCTGAGATCTGCAGCTTCTTGCCAAATAACTATACCTTTTTTCTGAACATCTGCACTAGGCTCTTTCTCCTCCCCTCTCCTTCCAGCCCCCAACTCTCTGTCCCAGTCCTTCTTGTGCAAACGATCCAGACTGGCTTTCATTAAACACCACTTCTCCCTTCATTCCTGACTCAGAAACCTCACTATGTCTTGGTGTCATCCATTTAGCCTGTTGACTTCTCGTCTTCCCCATTCCTGAACATTCCAGCCTAACCAGGTTGGTTTCCTCACACTCCTACAAAGGTACCGTGGCTTTTTCCTACCTCTATGCTTTCATTCATGTGGTTATTGTGACCTAGAATGTTCTCACCTTCCTCTCCCACTTGTCCAATCCCCACCTCCCCCACAAAACCTACCCTGACTTTCCCAGGCTCGCTGTTTCTTTCCTCTGAATTCCCAGGGCACTTAGCCTCTGTGATACCTAATTCAGTGCAGTTACACGCTCTCTTCTTATTCTGTAGCTGTTTAGTCATAGTTCCACAGCTAAATTATAAACTTCTGGATGGTGAAGTGGAATTTATTTAAAATTTTTTTATCATTCCATATTTCATTTCAAAAGGGGAAGTGGTTTTTTTAAAAAAAGATGAAATGAAAAAGGATGAGTTCATGTCCTTTTTAGGGACATGGTTGAAGCTGGAAACCATCATTCTCAGCAAACTATCGCAAGGACAGAAAACCAAACACCGCATGTTCTCACTCATTGGTGGGAATTGAACAATGAGATCACTTGGACACAGGGTGGGGAACATCACACACCAGGGCCTGTTTTGGGGTGGGGGGAGGGGGGAGGGATAGCATTAGGAGAAATACCCAATGTAAATGACAAGTTAATGGGTGCAGCACACCAACATGGCACATGTATACATATGTAACAAACCTGCACATTGTGCACATGTACCCTAGAACTTAAAGTATAATTTAAAAAAAATAACAATAAAGCCAGAATACACCAAAAAAAAAAAAAAGATAAAATGAACATATTTGAATGTTTACGTTTTAGACACTTTAGCAGACACTCAGCATGTATTTAATTTTGACAACAATCCCAGGCCACAGGTACCATAACCCTTATTTTAGAGGGGGGAGTACAGAGGTTCAGAGAGGCTAAGTAATTTGCCCAAGGTTACAGAGGCATTAGGTGTCAGGACCGAGACCTAAACTCAAGTCTGACCCTGTAGTTTTCACTCTTTGCACCACCACGTGGCTTGTTTTATAATTGTGGCCATGTTTTATTCCTTATACCTCTCAGTATGGTATTGACTACTTTGGCAAAGGCTCAATAAATACTGATTATAAGGTAATTGATGGCTCTTTTTAATCAGAGGATTGAGAAGAGCCCTTCCTTATGCTTTCTTATTAGTTCACTTATACATACATTTAAAATTTTACTGGACACCAGCTATGAGCCAGACACTGTTCTAGACATGAGGACACAGACAGAATATGATCCCTGCTCACCCAAAGAAGTGAGGCTTATACAAAAATGACTAATATACAATTGTATTCATTATCCATTACTCCACAAAAATTACCACAAATTTACTGCCTTATAACAACACATGGCCAGGCGCGGTGGCTCACACCTGTAATCCCAGCATTTTGGGAGGCCAAGGTGGGCTGATCACCTGAGGTCAGAAGTTCAAGGCCAGCCTGGCCAACATGGTTAAACCCTGTCTCTACTAAAAACACAAAAAATTAGCCGGGTGTGGTGGCGGGCGCCTATAATCCCTAGCTATTAGGGAGGCTGAGGCAGGAGAATTGCTTGAACCTAGGAGACAGAGGTTACAGTGAGCCGACATCACACCACCGCACTCCAGCCTGGGCAACAGAGTGAGACTCCATCTCAAAAACGAAAACAGAAAACAAAAAAACACACACACATTTATTGTCACACTGTTTCTGTGGGTGGGAAATTTTGGCACAGCTTCACTGGGTCCTCAGCTTAGGTACTCACAAGACTATAATCAAGGTGTTGGCTGGACTAGGTTCTTATCCGGCTCAGTTGGGGAAGAATCTGCTTCCAAGCTCACTCGGGTTGTTGGCAGAATTCAGGTTCTTGCAGCCACAAGACTGAGGGCCTCTGCTTGTTGTTGGCTGGAAGCTGCTCTTGGCTCCTAGGAGGGGCTCTAAAAGGGTGGGCCAGCAAGGAGGAGTTCTATACAATGCAACACAGTTGCCAGAGTGACACCCTATCACCTTTGCCTTATTCCATTCATTAGAAGCAAGTCACAGATCCCACTTACACTCAAGGGGAGGGGACCAAACAAGGGCATGAATTCCAAGAGGTGAGGATCACGAAGGGAGGCTGTCTTTGAGTCTGTCTTCCACAACAATAATAAATAAGTGCCAGGTGAGTGGTACAGACAACAAGTACTGCAGGAACTCAGCTGGGCTCCACATGTGAGGTGGTGTCACTGCTGATGAGCTTGGGCCATTCAGAGGCCTGGAGGATCCTATTTGAATGAGATTGTGAGAGATGGGCACTACCATCAGTTTACAGGCAAAATGGAGATTTCACAAATGCTCCTGGAGACCATGGGCCCCGACCTCCACAGTGGCAGCCCCAAGCATGAGCCTGTCCTGGAAGGAGGCTGGCTATCGTCCAAGAGTCAGAGGGTCAGGCATCAGGTGATGACTGTGGACATGAAGAAATGGTGACATGTTCAGGAGCTGGCAGGCCCGAAGATGCACTGGGTAGACCCAGTGGGGGCCTGGACAGGTTGGAGGAAGGAGAGAGAGGAGGCTGAGGTGAGCCTGAAGTGAGGTGTCCCAGGGATGAACAGGTCAGAGCTTCTGAGGGGGCTGAAGAAGCAATTCACTGACTCCTTTCTCCAACTGGGGATAAATAACCTCTAATTTCTGTGGAGCACTCCTAGAAACAAAGAAATCTTTCATAGATTAATATGTATTCATATATTCCATTGGCTCTTCCATTGGCCATGTAGCATCAAGATACAAAAGCTAACGGAGCAGTGGGTCTCCTTGACCTCTGTGCATGTCTGTGTTGTGTGGGTTTATATGCACATGTGGGAAAGAAGAAGGGACAGCTCGTACCTGTTCAGTAAGTCACCAGCATTCTAGGAGAGAGAAAAAGTGAGAATCATAATTGGTTCTCAGGTTCCTATCACCTCCAAATTCCTTTCCCAATTCACTCTTGGAGGCCACTCTGGGGTGCCACCTTGAGAACTGGGGGAACATAGCAACACCCCTCTTCTGTGCCCATTCTGCTGCAGCAGCACTCTGTAGCCTGGAACAAGCCACATCTACCACAAGTCACCACATATCACACAGGCCCCTCCCTCTTACACCTCCCAGAAGGGTGATGCAGATGGGCTGCCTCCTATCGGGGAGAATCCCAGCCCTTGGGGAAGGCCTCAGGGTATGCACCTTCAGTGTGTTGGTGTCTAATTCCTTGGCCGTCCTTTCCAGATCAATGACCAGGCTTCTGAGCTGTGTTACTGCCCTGGAGATGTCAAGGATTCTGGCCGCTTCTGCTGGCATGTGCTCCAGCTGGCCCAGCCACTGCTGAGGGAGGGCACCCAGCTGTTCCCTGGTTTGGTGCTGGCTCTCCGGCCCAGCCTCCAGCCTGTGGTTCCCGTGGTCTACCTGAAACTACAGGAAAGGGGCTCCCTAAGACTCAGTGTCAGGTGGCTCCCTCCTGGCCCTTCACAGTCTCTGAATGTCTGAGCAGGAATGCTGATTCCTCAGTCCTCTTGCCCTCATGGTGTTGCCTCTGTGTGTCACAGGTATAGCAGAAGCAGCTTTGATTCTCATAAAGGCAGGGACACCTCACCTTTCCACCTCACTCTCTGAATATCTACAGATGCCATGTGACCAAGAGGAATAGAAAGGTAGACTGTCAGAGACAGAAATGGAGGCCTATGGCGGCCGGGCACGGTGGCTCACACCTGTAATCCCAGCACTTTGGGAGGCCAAGGCGGGCGGATCACGAGGTCAGGAGATCGAGACCAACCTGGCTAACATGGTGAAACCCCATCTCTACTAAAATATAGAAAAAATTAGCTGGGCGTGGTGGCAAGTGCCTGTAGTCCCAGTACTCGGGAGGCTGAGGCAGGAGAATGGCATGAACCCGGGAGGCGGAGCTTGCAGTGAGCGGAGTTCGTGCCACTGCACTCCAGCCTGGGCGACAGAGCAAGGCTCCATCTCAAAAAAAAAATAAAATAAAATAAAAAGAAACAGAGGCCTATGGCTTGTGTAGTAATTTTCAGTTGACGAGACACTGGTCTCCTTTGATCCCTACTGTGATCCAGGCAGAGCAGGACTGGTTCTCATTTAACATGTAAGTCACATAAAGATCAGAGGGCTTAACTTGCGTAGGTCACTCAACCAGCAAACTTTGACGCCAAGGCCAACACCCGGGTTTTCAGCCTCCACGACCATCTGCCCACATCAGGCTGTTCCAGGGACAGACAGATGTCCAGAATAGTTAAGTAAGGGCTCCTGAGAACACTCCAGGGAGTCCTTCCCAGGAACCCGAAAAACCCACCTGCAGAGCCTGCAGTTTCTTCTCCTGCTGAGCCTTGAGCCGCTGAAGTTCTGCAATGTCCTTTCTGAGCTTCCTGCTCCGGCGATTGAGTCGTTCCTAAAGAGACAGACACACCTGCTTGTCAGACTGGGAGTGAGGGGGGCACCCACTGGGAGGAGTCAATGGAACACGGTAGGGGGCCTGATCCCAGAATGCAACTAATGTAAAATTCTGCCTAAAAAGAAATGCTTTTAGAGCATCATGGTTGGAGTAAGGGACTTGAGAGTTTATTTATTGGATAATGATGGGGGGAAATAGTAATGGGTAATTTTTTTACAGTCTTAGAAGTACAGAAAAAATAATAGATAGCAACAGAACCATTTCTACTTGACTTCAGGGTGCTTTCTCTCAACATACAAAAGTTATATGACAGTCTTCTAGCACTTCTTACTATTTTACAGTAACACATGGAGCCAGTCTGGAGGGAATTGCCTTAAAGAGGAAATGGCAACCCTCTGCTACCTCTGCTGCCTGGTCCTCACTGGGATGAGTGACAAGATAGAGCCCTTTACTAGGTGCAAACTCATAGCCCAGGTAGGCAGTGCCTTCTCTCTCAATCTTAAATCAGCATCTGGATGTGTCGCTGTGTCCTTGAAGCTATGGAGTTAAAGAATGATTTGAGTTTCTAAAAAAATTTTGCTTTCAGGTTTTTGATGACCTATAAGAGAAGCAAAAATAACAACAAATGCTTTAAATGGCTGCCCATGGTTCGGGGGGCAGTTGGAGGGTGAATGATAAAATAGAAAACAAAACGAGAAGAGATTTGTGAACTAAAGATCAGGATGTGCTATTAGCTGAAAAGTGTGTGTTTCACTAAATCTTTCCCACTTCAGATTTTTTTTTTTTAATCTTTTTTGAGGAGATTTTGGAGATGTACAGGTAGAAGTCAGGGGATGGTGAAGACAACTGAAAGTTCTTTCCAGCCTGAGAATTTCCTGGTGAAATCAAGGTCAAAGGACTGTGTGTGTGAGGGGTCAGCAAGGGCATTTGGTGAACAGAAAGCTGCAGTAAGCAGAGAAGACAGTGATGTCACCACAAAGTTACTAAAAACGTGTCACGTCACTGGGTGTTTCCTGCAGGCATTTCCCAGCAGAGACGAAATAAAAAAGTCATAGGAGTGGGAAGTAATAAATGGGCATCATGGATGTCGCTCATGAGTCTCGCTGAAGAAGGTGGCAGGCTGGTGTGGAACTGTTTGTGCGAGCACAAGAGTTCATGTCCTGAAAAGCACAAACAGCCTTCACCGCTTGCATCTACTCACTTGCTGCCCTCACAGTCAAGTTGTTTGGTGTTGCTGTCTTCACCTCCTCACTGTCGTCATTCCTCAGCCAGCCGCCTTGTTTCTCATCACTCCTTTAAAGCCTCTCTCTCCAAAGTCACCTGAGATCTCCAGCCATGAAATCCGCAGGTGCCTTTCTGTACCTCCTCTCCACCCCATCCTTCCTAGACCTGTGCCTTCTGCCACTGCTTCTTTGCCTCTTCATTTTTTTCTGTAAAAAGGAGCCTTGAAGTTGGCTCCTCAACCCTTTTCTATCTCAGACTATGTCCTTAGCTTTCCTTTCTGGAGCCTTCAGATCTTAGAATTCCAAAACCAAATCTTTTTTCCTAGCAATCCATCTCATGCTTCCAAGTGAGAGCTAAGTGCTGCCTACTGCCCTGTTGGCAGCTCAAAATCAATATGGTAGAATCAAACATGCTGCCCAGTTCCCCAAGCTCTTCTGCAGTCCACTCCTCTTGACCTTCATGTTTCTGACATTGGGACTGCCATTCTGCCTGCCATTCAGCTTGAAATCTGTCACATTTCACCTTTGTTGATGTTAGTCCTCCCTTCAAAATGGCTTCTCAGCAACAAAGATAAGCCCAAACTCCTTCACCCAGCATCCAAGGTGCCCCAGGACCCAGCCCCAACTGACATTGTCCGGGATTCTCTCTCTGCTCACTGAACTCTCTTCACCAGCACACAACATTGCTCTCTGCTTCCCAAACACACCCGTGCAGCCACACCTCCTCATGGCCTTTTACTTCTCTCTGTCAGGAGTGCTTTATTTTTCTGCCTGTCAAAGTCAGGCCTATTAAGGTCCAGTTCAAAAAGCCACAGTCCTATCATCTGGCAGTTTAAAATTTAATAAAGCCAACTACAGACACTGTGTAAATGAAAAAAAGAAGGCAAAGATAACAGTAATAAAGATAAAGGCATAGAATGACTGAAGATAATACTGTCATATTGTTTACAATATTCAAAATGAGTAAGGTAAAGTCCTCTGTTTCTAAAAAGTACTTTTTCACCAATTTTTGCATAAAGGTATTTAATGGGTGCATATAATATAAATAAGACACTCATTAGAATTGAAAAGCTAAATTCTATACACTTTCACCTACCAAAATATTCCTCAGAGAAAAAAAGACAAGTTGAAATCTAGAAAATAGTCGAAGACCTGTCTTGTCTAAATGAATATTTTAAAATTCTGTCATTCAGGTTAAATCATATTAAATTTTTAAAATCTGACAAAAAAGGGCATTAAATTTGTTCTTAAACAACTTGCTAACACAATGTACAAAAGAAAAGTGGTTAACAGACAAAAAGTACCTATCCCTGACACTGAAAAAAAAAAAAAAAAAGAAAAATTAACAGCTTTCAAAATGCATGCTCCTTACAGAACTGTGTCCAAAAATATGAATTAAAAACAACATCACTCACACAATTATGATCTAGAAAATGTCAGAAAATTTTTAAAAATGTATGGTAAATACATGAGCTCAGCAAAGAATCTCATTTGAATCTACAAGTAAAAATTGTCAAAAAAAATAGTGTTGTAAAATACATAGCTACCCTCAATAGAGTCAGGGCACATGAGGTTTAAGTAAAGACAATTTAATATCTGATTCAGATACATAGTGGAAAGCCGTTAGTGATGTATCTTGGTACTGGTTGAGAAGACTAACTAAACCCCCAAAAGTCATGATTCTTAGTAATCAACAAATTTAATGCAATAACCATTAAAATCTTATGGAATGATCTATGAAATTTAGAAACATTGTAAAAAAGCACTCATCTTAAAAGACAGCAAAAATATCAGGTAATAAAATTATTAAATGGCAAAAATGCTGCTAGATTTAAAAATAAACCATAAAGTAACATGTTGTCAAAACTATATAACAGAAAGAATAATCAATGGACTAGAGTAAAAAAAAAACAGCCCATCATGAGAACTTAATTGATGTCAAGCGAGAAACAACACGTAAATGTGGAAAGGACTCACTGTTATATAAATATTTTGGGAACAACTGGATACCAGAATAAAGAAAAATTAACGTGGAGTCATCCTTCACACAACATACTATATGAAATTCCAAGTAAGCCAGGAATTAATAAACCTTTAAAAATAAAACAGAGCAGCACACTCATATTAAACAAATTTCTGTGTATTTAAGACATGGAGATTATATTATAAAAAAGAATAGAGCCAATTTAAATGCAAATTTCTAAAAAGTTGCCCAAAAATATAATTAAGAAGAAATAACAGAATAAAAAAATGTAGGTTAAACAAACACAACTAATGGAGCTCATTATCCAAAAGATAAACTATTTTGATGCAATCATGTAGAATTTATGCCCTGATTCTAGGGGAAAATGCAGACAGCGAGTCTTCATGGATAAAAGCCTCACCACTACTAGCATTCATAATCAAGCAAAGTAAAACAACGTACATCACTGTCACACACTTACTAAACCAGCAAAATACATTAAAGTGATTGACACTGACATTGACTGGTCAGTGAGGAAACAGGTATACAAATAAGAATTTGTAGATTTTATAAATTTTTCGGTCTTTTTAGAGTACAGTCAGGGATTATATGATTCTTTTAAAAGAACAAAATTTACAATACTTAACTACAAAGTTTAATTCAAATAAATAGAGATATGGTGAAAAAATCAGTAAAAAAAAACCCTCCTTAATTTCAAAATTACGCTGTCAATATCCATGAGTACACATAAGGTCCACCATTATAATCACTTCTTCAGAAATATACTCAACTCCCTTACCCTCCCTCTTTGTGTTACTTTTCAGACAACTCCTTATCCATGGTAAAATGTACCATCACCTTCTTGTTTGCTGTCTGTCCTCAGGCAGCCTCCTGAAACATGTTAAACATTTCAGACCTCAAATTGGTGCTACATACTGTCTGCCAACCCTACATAGTTTCTCTTGTAAGCGCTCTCCCACACTGCATCACACCATCTTGTTTCTTTTCAAACCTTTCACATCCATCCTGATCCCACCCATACTGCTGATGTTCCTTCCTCAAATATTATGAGAAAATAAAAACCAGAACAAAACCTGGATTTCCAAAACTGCAAAACTATGTAGGCTTGCAGACACCTTCTCTTGTTCCCTGTTATTACTATGGAAGAAGTGTGCCTCCTCCCAACTCAGCTCTCATGCCTCTGCCACCATCTTACTGAAGTGTTAGCATTGTTCAATGCAATCTATTATAATCTCTTAAAATACCCTTCTCTCTTAGCAGCTGGGGCACCATTCCCCTTGTTTTTCTCCTGCCTTTCTGGCAACTCATCCTGTCTCCTTTGCTGGGTCCTCCTCTGCCTACATCTAAATGACGGCCTTTCCCAGAACCTTACCCCAAAACTTCTTTTTCTGTCTAGCCTCTTTTGAGGCAATTACATCAGTTTCCTTGGTTTCTTGGTTGTTTGTTTCTTTGTTTGAGACAGGGTCTTGCTCTGTCTTCCTGGCTGCAGTGCAGTGGCACAATCACAGCTCACTCCAGCCTCACTCTCTTGGGCTCAAGCAATCCTCCCACCTCAACCTTCCAAGTAGCTGGGACCACAGGCGTGAGCCACTGCACCCAGCCCCAAATTGTCACGTTCTTTTTTTTAAATCCTGTTAATTTCACTTTGTTGTTGCTGTTGTTGTTCTAGAGATAGTATCTCACTGTGTTGCCTAAGCTGGTCTTGAACTCCTGGGCTCAAGCGATCCTCCCACTTTGGCCTCCCAAAGTGCTGGGACTACAGGTGTGAGCCACCGTGCCCGCTTTTCTTGGATTTAAATATTGTCTTTGCCTGGATGGATCTTTGTTCTAGGTTCTAGGAATAAGACTCTGGAGATCTAAATTTGTGATCCAGCTGCGTATGTAAGATCCTATTTTGATGTGTCTCAACTTGGACTCAACTTGTCTTAAATGAAACTCTTGGTGTTGCATTCAAACCTGTTCTACCAAGTTATTATCTTTCACATCATCTATTCAGTTTCTCAAACCAGAAACTCATGAAGTCATCTTTGACCTTCCTCCTTCCTTCAACCCACTTTTTAAAATATATATACTTTAAGTTCTGGGGCACATGGACAGAACATGCAGGTTTGTTACATAGGTATACACGTGCCATGGTGGTTTGCTGCACCCATCAAACCGTCATCCACGTTAGGTATTTCTCCTAATGCTATCCCTCCCCTACCCCCCATCCCCTCACAGGCCCTGGTGTGTGATATTCCCCTCCCTGTGTCCACGTGTTCTCATTGTTCAACTCTCACTTACGAGTGAGAACATGTGGTGTTTGGTTTTCTGATCTTGTGTTAGTTTGCTGAGAATGATGGTTTCCATCTTCATCCACGTCCCTGTAAAGGACGTGAACTCATCTGTTTTTATGGCTGCATAGTATTCCATGGTGTATATGTGCCATATTTTCTTTATCCAGTCTATCGTTGATGGGCATTTGGGTTGGTTCCAAGTCTTTGCTATTGTGAACCATGCCACAATAAACATACGTGTGCATGTGTCTTTATAGTAGAATGATTTATAATCCTTTGGGTATATACCCAGTAATGGGATTGCTGGGTCAAATGGTATTTCTGGTTTTAGATCCTTGAGGAATCACCACACTGTCTTCCACAATGGTTGAACTAATTTACACTCCCACCAACAGTGTAAAAGCGTTCCTATTTCTCCACTTCGTCTCCAGAATCTGTTGTTTACTGACTTTTTAATGATTGCCATTCTAACTGGCAGAGATGGTATCTCATTGTGGTTTTGATTTGCATTTCTCTAAAGACCAGTGATGATGAGCATTTTTTCATATGTCTGTTGGTTGCATAAATGTCTTCTTTTGAGAAGCGTCTGTTCATATCCTTTGCCCACTTTTTGATGGGGTTGTTTTTTTCTTACAAAGAACCCACTTCTAATCTCTCAGTAAGTCCTGTCGATTCAAACTCTAATGATAAATTCTTCAAATATAACAAGACTTCTCAGGTGTGGGCATCTGTATGCACTCCCTACCCCCTGTCTTTGCAGGTTGATTTCTCTTCTGCCAGCCCTCAGCTTCAAGGTCACTTCCTCTATGAGGCCCTCACTGACCAAATGGACATGGGCCACCCATTACTGTTCATCCCAGACCCTTGTTTATTTTCTTCCTAACTAATAAAAAGTTACAGTTCTTTTGGGAGGCCAGCGCAGATGGATCATGAGGTCAGGAGTTCAAGACCAGCCTGGCCAAGATGGTGAAACCCTGTTTCTACTAAAAATACAAAAATTAGCTAGGCCTGGTGGTGGGTGCCTGTAATCCCAGCTACTCGGGAGGCTGAGGCAAAGAATTGCTTGAACCTGGGAGACGGAGGTTGCAGTGAGCCGAGATCATGCCACTGCTCTCCAGCTTGGGTGACAGAATGAGACTCCATCTCAAAAAAAAAAAAAAAAAAAAAAGAAAAAAAAGTTACAGTTCTTTGATTACTTATTTGTGTCTCCCTTACTACACTGCAAACTCCTGGCAGAAGGAATGGCATCTGTCTTCATTGATTCCTAGCACATGCTGCAGTTTCTCACACACAGCAGGAACTTACTAAGTTTTTACTTAATGAACAAGTGTCATCGTTATTTATTTGTTTTAGCTTTCTTGTCATTATTTAAAGACAGATTTGAAACAAGAATTATGAATCATCTTTGTACTTTCTACAATGCCTAGCATGACATCTAACACAAAGGACAGACCTGAAAAAATCATTTAGTGAGGAAATAAATTTCTCCATCTTATGCTGCTTCATCGGCAGGTGAGGAATCCCTCCCCACTCTCCTGTGGACATTGCACCTGGAGGGAATGATGTTAGAACCAAATAGAACTTTGCCTCTGGCTTTTTCAATTATTTCTCTACCTTTCTGTAGTCACTTTTAATCTGGACTCCCCACTTTCTCATTCTGTATCATAACATGTTCTCCAAAAGTCAAGTATCTCAAAGCTACCTCAGCTTTGGAAGTTCAGCCTTCACTATTGGATAGAAGGATGCCATGTGAAAATATTGTCAATTGTCCAGTCAAATACTAACTGGATTAGGGTCAGGGGAAAGGTTGATAAAAATAATTCCAAAGCTAATTGGCAAAATAAAGATATACAAATATCTGCACGAATTCTGAAAAATAAGAGTATTGTGAGGATTCTATCAAAATACCTGACATTAAAATATATGGTAAGGATAAAATCTCTAAAATACCTTGGCTTATAGGCAAGCATAGACAGAATAGAACAGCACAAAGAATCAAGGCAGTATGCAAGAAAATATGCATATATGGTATATTATGACATTGGCATTCAAATCAATGGGGAAACTATATGAATCATTCAACAAATGGTGATAGGACAAATTGATTATAACTTGGAAAAACTAAAGTTAGATTTCTACCTTATGCTCTCACCAAAATATATCTTGGATATTCTAGGTCCTCCAATATATATGTTGAAGGATATTCATTAGAACGTTCTGTGTAATCTTAAAACAAAACAATAGCTTGGAAATGACCCAATGTCTGCCAATTTATGGTACATTCATAGAATTTAATACCACACAGTTCTTGAAAATAATTCAGAAGATCTATACATGCTGATGAGAAAATGTTCAAGCCACACTTTTAGATAACAAAAATGAGTTACAGAAAAAAATATAGAGAGAATCCTTTGAGGGTGTGTGTGTGTGTGTGTGTGTGTAAGAGTGCATTCATAAGCACACACATTTTTTGGAAGGATGTACAAAAATCAAACAATGGTTACCTCTGAGGACTATGAATGGAGGGAGAAAGGAAGACAAATTTTTAGTCTTGACTTTATACCTTTCAGTGCTTTCTGAATTTATTACCTACAGCATGTAACTTTTGTGATAGAAAATTTAACAGAATAAGATAAAATAATTGCCATAGCAAAGAAAGGAAAAGGAAAGATAAGACAAATGCAGAAGGAAGAAAAAGAGAGAAAAAATTATGTAGTAACTTTCAGGTTTTAATATATTTGCAGGATAATTACTAGTGTATATAAAACCTGATTACATTTCTAGCCAAGTTTCTAGTACTATCAACCAGGAGTTCACACAGTTTTAGTCCTGAAAGGGTTTTGCATTAGTTAGTCCAATTACTCTATTCTACAGATGAGCAGACTGGGACTCTAACATCACACTGACAATATCCTCTTTTAGACAGACTCACATTAATGCATGGAAACATCAGCCTCAAAATATACACAGAAAAGCAAGACAAGGGTCCAAAACAGGATGAAGCAGAAGAAACAAAGAGAGATGTCCATTGTTGAGCTACTCTGAGGTGCCAGGCATGATGAACATGTAGGATGCAGCACCTCAGCGAGGTGGAGGCAGGGCCTGGCTGCGGTGACCCAGGCTTACCTTGTAGTGGCTGAGGGCATTTTCAATGGTCAGTTCATGATGAGACATGTGTTCAGGGGACACCAGGCATTCCACACATAGAAGAAGTCTGCTCTCCTCACAGAACCTGCACACCCTCTTCTGGTGGTTGGGGCAGATATAGCCTGTCCCTAGCACCTCCTCAGAACAGGGCTTCCGGCAGAGGGGGCAGCAGAAGACCCCAGAGGCTGAGGCCTTCTCCACATGCTGTGTCAGGCACACTCGACAGAAGAGATGTCCGCAGTTGGTGCTCACGGCCTCCTTCAGGCTCTCCTGGCAGATGGGGCAGACACCCTCCTCCTGGTTGTCCTTCTGCAAAGGGATCATGGCCTCGTTCCTACCCTGTCAGCCTCCTGTTTGCAGGGCCTCCTTCTTCACTGGTCTTCGGAAGGCCTGTTGCCCTCAACAGTCCCAGATAAGAAGGCCCAGTCGGAAGGAGGCAGCCCTGGAGCAGCCTGGGGACAGGACACAGCCTCCAAGTTCAGGCAATTGCCCACTCTCCCTCAAGGGTGCCGTGACATAGACCACACAAACCACAATTCTTCACGAGTTTCAGAAATAGCTCATCAGCTTTGACATGGACCCTGCGGTTTCCTTGTGTTTGTTAAACTTGAAATTATTTTTCATACACCTAGAGGAAGCAAGTGATTCAATAACCAATTCTGTTTTCCTCTTGACAGCTTTCAGTGAATATTTGCACGGGCCCCAAATTAAAAGGGCAAGGTGTCATTGTCATGGCCAAAAGCCAGACCACTATAAACTTACAATTTGAGTCTCCTCTGATTTGCCATCAGTAGAGAGAGTTTGGCAGGAGTTTGGACTGTTTTCTCCTACACTGTCACACCGGGTGGCTCACTGCTGCCCATTATTACCACCAATAATTACAGCAGCATCTCCATCAGCTGGTCATTCTTCCAACCAACATCCCTCCCAGGGTCATATAGATTCCACACTGAAAGAATGAGAAAGAAAACAGGACACAGAACAGACTAGAGACTTGTATAATGTTTGAAGCCACTTTGTTCCTTCCTGTCAAATCACCACCAAAGATGACCCAAAGAAAGAAGTCCCCCGCCACCTGCCACCTCCCTTAGATACTGAGGATTCACTCTTATTCCCTCATGCTGCACCTCTTGCCTAGCCCCACTCCTGAAAAGCTTTCTTAGTATCCTACCTCAATTTCTCCTGCTACAATTTCAGATCATCTTCTCTGGCTCTAGACCTGGAGAGATGGCC